>NC_000024.10:5742405-6042815 GCF_000001405.40 Homo sapiens
TTCAAAATTGCTGAACACTATTGTAGTGTTTCTGAACATTTATTTTGCATCATTCAAGACAAGATTTAAGTGATATTTACTTATTCCAGATTAGATCTATTGCTTCACTTAATGTAAAAGTTACCTAAGGATTTCTCTGTACAACCATAGGAGATCCAGGTGAAATAAGTTTCTGGAGATGGTTGATAATATTTGTGGAACAAAATAACTTTACTCCTGGCTTTGTTTTCACTTTGGCTAAATGGAGAGAATTCATTGAAACCTCTCAAACTACAAGGTATCACTAAATATGTAACTGCATTTAGAATTTTATTAGCCCCAAATTTTGATTAAGAATTACATACCGCACAGTCCAGTGCTTTTTGTATTATTTTTTCTCACTCATATATTTATTATTGTGATATTAATTTATTCATTTTCACCAAGGGTTAGCTGGTGAAGAAAGAAAAACAGGAAAATTTAAATCAAGCAACATTTTAACCTCTGGCAAAAAGGAGATTGGGGTTTTAGAAGAAGTACAATATATGTGTAGGTTAATTTGTGTTATTTCTCATCTTCACTCCAGCCATTTGGGAAAAAAAAAATCTCACAAGTTGTTGTGACTTAATTTGTGAAGCTGACTGAGAATCACCAAGTTATATATAGATATTATCATAATAACCTTGGCAAGAACTCTAGAACCTGAGAAAGTGCATATGGTGAAAACATACTCTGAATAGGAGAAAAATACCCTACTGAAAAGGAGTATTACAAATTTCTTTTTTTTCAACAAGTGGAAAAATATGTGAGCTAATATTTGGCTTGATTAAAGACATTGAAGTTATTGGTCTTATTGTCAGAAATGGCCAAACTGACTATAAAATGTTGATGGACAAATGGCAATTGCTTCAAAACAAAAAATAAAAACAAGGACAATACCGATGCAGGCAATTCAGTTCAGAATTTTATTTCTGTATATTGGGTAACAAATTTAATATCCATTTCGAGTATCTGAGAATCAACACATGCATGAAAACAACCGAAGTTTAATTTGTGCACTAGCTTAACTCCTTTCTTATCTGTTAAAGTATTCTAAAGTTAATTGGGGTAAAACAGAAGCAAGATACATAAATGAAGAAAATGAAAAAATGAAAGTTTAATTTGTCAGCAATTTAGTTCTGAAATCTGGTCATATGATGTTTTCTTTGTAAGCTTTTTTGAACAGTTTTAGATTTACAGAAAAATTGTGATAATAATGCAGAGTTCTCAAATAACCTCGCTCTTAGTTTTCCTTATTTTTAACATGGCATATTTGTTATAATTAATGAGCCAATGTTTATACATTATTATCAACTGAAATCCATAGTTTATTCAGATTGCCCTAATTTTTACTATTAAGGACATTAGTCCTTTTCTGGTTCCAGAATCCCATCCAGGATTCCACATTACATTTATTTATTGTATCTTCTTAGGGCCCTCTGGACTGTGACACTTTCTTAGACTTTCCTTGTTGATAATGACCTTGACAGTTTGGAAGAGTACTGGTCGGGTATTTTGTAGAATGTCCCTTAATTGAGATTTTTAATGATAATTTTTCTTGTGTTTAGACTGGGGTTATGGGTTTTTGTGTGGAAGATTCCAGAGGTAGTGTATCTTGTCTCATCACATGCTCTCAGGAGTAAGTGACAGCACATTTTTAACCTGTATAAGTTAGCATTTGGAATCATTTTGCTTTATGCTCAGGATTTACTCTTCACCCCTGAAGCAGAGACTCACCTGTCCTCCCTAAGTTTGAAGTGTAGTACAATTCAGGACATGCTCCTTCCTCAGATTCCTACCTATCATACAGATGACCACCTTCCCATTTTATTTTACTCTCTCAGTCTCTAATAAAACAATTGAGAATAAAATATTAATAGAAACATATTAAGTAAATGTGTTTCCCTTTCCAAATTTACTAAATAGGAAATGAGTGGTGTGGTACGTCCCACTAGCAATGAAAATTTCGGAAATCATGGCAAACAGTGGAAGATCCATTATAAATAAATAAGACCATTTATTTAGAAAAATTTCATTATCTCTCTCAGGGATAGCAAATGTCATAGTAGCATTTCTAATAGAGTCAACTGCACCAACTAATTAGTTATTAGGTAACTAAGAAAGGGTGTTGAGACTCTGTGACAGTTAATTTTATGTATTAACTTGGGTAGGCCACCGTATCAGACATTTGCACAACCACTTGTCTGAATTGTTGTCAAGACACTTTTTAGATGAGATTAACTGTAAAACCAGTAGACTTTGAGTAAAGCAGATTACCCTCCATAATTTAGGTAGGACTCGTCCAATCAGTTGAAGGCCTTAAAAAGAAAAAGACAAACTTCTATCAAGGAAGAGAGAAATCTGCAAGCAGACTGCCTTCAGACTTGAACATTAACACTTCTCTGGGGCTCCAGCCTGCCAGCCTACCGTTCAGACTTTGGGCTGGCCAGCCTCCTAAATCATATGAGAAAATTTCATAAAAGAAATTTCTTTCTTTTCTTTCTTTCCTTTAATCTTTCTTCTTCCTTCTTTTAATCTTTCTTCTTCTTTTTTCTCTTTCTTTCTTTCTCTCTTTTTCTTTCTGCTTATTTCTTTATTTCTTCCTGTCTCTTCCTTCTTTACTTCCATCCTCCCTTCCTCTACTGTTCTTTTTCTTTCTTTTCTTTTCTTCTTTCTCTCTTTCCTTTCTTTCTATTTCCTCTCTCTTTCCTTCATCTTTTCTCTTTCCTTTCTTCCTTTGTTTCTTTCTTTCTCTCATTCTCTCTCTCTCTCAAACCCTGACTAATATAGATTTGAATTTTTAAAAAATGAAACATCTTAACCAAGATCTGCCAAATAAGGTCAGGCCTAATATGATACTGTTTCATCCAATATTACTGTTCTGAGAAGTGTATTATTTCAGTATGTAGATGGTTTAGCTAGAATTCTATTTGTCTCCAGTTTAATTAGTGGTTAATTTCTTAGGCTCTTCCATCATACTAATCTACACTCAATTCTCAGTTACTCCACTTGAAAGCTGTGTTACCACGGTGCAATATTTACCCTTTGATCTTTTTTCTCATTTATAAAATAAGGCTAGTGTTTGGTATACTGTGAAGAATAGTGGAAATACGTGATCTATGAACATTAGTTGGAGAGGGGAGGAACTATATGGTGAAGAAGAAAGTGAGAAAATCTTTCCTGTGGAGAGAAGCCTATACATAATTCACCTCACTAGACTACTGCCTTTTCCCATTAAACTAGAGTGTGAAATGAAGAAAATGAACTAGTCAATCCTACTTGGAGAGATTGCTTCGGACCTGAGACATCTGAAATCTAACCACCTGACAAGCTGTGGGTGCTGGTCATCTATTTTAGTCCATTTAGGATGCTGTAATAAAATAACTTAGACTGGGTAACTTGTAAATAGCAGAAACTTACTGCTAGCAGTTCTGGAGACTGGGAATTGTAAGAGCAAGGCACCAGCAGATTCTGTGTCTGATAAGAGCCCTTTCCTCTTGGATGATATCTTCTATGTCTCCTCACACAGCGGAAGTGTCAAAAAGGCTCCTCAAAGCATCCTTTATGAGAGCACTAATTCTATTTATGGGGTAAAACCCTCAAAACTTAATCACCTCCTAAAGACCTCAACTCTTAATACCATCATCTCGGTGGTTAGGTTTCAATATATGAATTTTGGGGGGAAACAAATATTCTAAGTCACAGCAGTCTGCTCCTGAACCCACAAATTCATTTCCTTCTCATAAGCAAAATACATACATTTCATTCTAATAGCCCCCAAGGTCTTATCTCATTCGAGCATCAACTCAGAAGTTTAATATCTCATCCAAAGTCTCATCTAAGTATCACTTAAATCAGATATAAGTGAGACTCAAGGTAAGATTTATTCTGAAGTAAATTTCTCTCCAGCTGTGAATTTATGAAATTACACAAGTTATGTGCTCCCAAACTATAATGGTGGAACTAACACTGGATAGATAGTTCTTACACCAAAGAGAGAAAGAAGAAAAAAGAAAGCATAACTAGTCCCAAATAATTTCAAAACCCAATAGTGTAAACATTAAATCTTAAGTCTTGAAAATAAACTTATGTGATTCCATGTGCAGCCTTTTGTACACATTGAGGTGGGGGTTGGGTTCTCCACACTCTGGGCAGCCCTGCTTCTATGGCTTTGCTAGGTAAGACCCACAATGTAGCTCTCATGGGTTGAAGGTTGGTGCCTGCAGCTCTTTCAGGCTGCAATCGCATGGCCGTGGCTGTACTAATCTGAGGTTGTGAAGGTAGTCTTGTAACCATCTTTTCACTGGGTATTTCCCTAGTAGGGGCTCTTTTTGGTGGCCCTCATAGTTTCACCGGTCATTGCCCTAATGGGGGATTTCTACAGTGGCTCTACCACTTTAGCAGTTATTTGCCTGGGCCCTGAGGCTCTCCAGGGCAACCTTTGAAATCCAGGTGAAGGTAGGCGTGCTTCCAAAGCTTGTGCAAGTTGCACCTTCCTGGAGATGACACTGTGTGGATGCTACCATGGTTTAACACCTGTGCCTTCCAGAGGGGCAACCAGAGCTGCACCTGGGCCTGCTTGAGCCACAGATGGGGTGGCCAAAGAGTGCTTTGCTGGAATGTGGAGAGTAGAACTTTGTCATCATTGTGCCCCAAAAGCCCTGGCATTTTGGGCCTGTAATGGGTGGTGCAATCCCGAAGATCTCTGAAATGCTTTTAGGATCATTCTTCCATTGTCTTGATACAAAGCATCTGGCTTCCTTCTATTCATACTAATCTCCTTATTAAACACTCACTTGGCCACATCCTTGATGTTCTTTCCTGAACATTTTCCCACTCTTTAAAACATGGCCAGGCTGAGAATTTTCCAAACCTTTAAGCCCCCCTTTCCTTTTGATTATGAATTCCAATTTTGTTTCTTTTTTCTCACATTTTACTATAAGCAGTCTAGTAGAGTCATGCCATACCCTCAACCGTTTGCTTAAGGATTTCTTCTACCAAATGTTCTATTTCATAACTCCTTCCCTGGAACACTATGATATGAACATAATTCAGCCAAGTTGTTTGCTGGTTTATATCAAGAATCACCTTTCATCTAGCTTTTAACAATCTTTCCTCATTTCAGTCTGATATTTCATGAGAATGGCCTTCACTGTCACAAACATTCTGGTGGTGATCACTTAGGTAATTTCTAAGAAGACTGAGGTTTTCTCTACAGCTCTCTTCTTATTTGAAGACTTCACCAGAATTTCCCTTTTTAGTCAGTTCACAGCAGTACAGGCTGCTTCTACCATACACTTCAAAATTCCTCCAGGCTTTACCCATTACCGAGTTCCAAGGTGCTTTCATATTTTTATGTATTTGTTACAGCAGCACCCCACTTCTTATAACCAATATCTCTCTGTGTCTATTTGGGCTACTATAACAAAATATCTTAAACTGAGTAATTTATAAGAAACAAATTTATTGACCATAGTTCTGGAGGCTGGGGAATCCAAGAACAAGGCACCAGCAGATTCTGTGTCTGATGAGAGCCTGTTCCTCTTGAATGGCACCTTCTTTGTGTCCTAACATGACAAAAGGGGTTAAAGTCTTCCTCAGGCCTCTTTTATAAGGGCACTAATTCCATTCATGAGGCAAAGCTTTAATGACCTAATTACCTCCTAAAGACCTCAGCCATGAATACTATCAGTGTGGTGGTTAGGTTTCAACATATAAATTTTGGGGAAGATACAGTCAGACCACAGCACTCACCTAAAGAACCAAAGAGTTTGTCATTCTTTATTGCTTTGAGGCACCATGTTTATAGGCATTTTCAAATACCTTACCTGACCATGACCATCACATTATGGCTAAAAATTTATAATTGCAACACTGTTAGTAAGGAAGGAAGTAGCCAAGGAAAGAATCAAGGGAAACAAGTATTTCCGGAGTGAGCTAGTGAGACAAGAAAGGAAATAAGTGAGGCCTGAAAGAGAATGTTCATGCATCTGATGAGTATTTAGTGAGTGACTATAATGTAGCAAGCATTGTTATAGGTGATGAAAATACAATGTCGACAAGAAAAGCAGTGTCTCTGTTATGGAGCTTACCATCTAATGATATACTGGGGACAAAACACAACAAACGAGAACACACAGACACCTGTAACAGAATGTCTGATGGTGATAAATGAATAAGGAAAATCAAAGAAGGTAATATGATACAGGCTATTTTATCTAAGATGTATATCAGTTAAGATGAGTTTAGCTCCACATAACAGAAAAACCCTAATGTACATGGCTTCAAAATGAGAATTTCATTATTTTATTTTACATGATATCCTGAGGTAAGAAAGTTTCTAATATGGTACATCTCAGCTCTGAATTTGTTTCTTTGTATTTCCATTGCTTTCTCCTATTGTTGTTTTTTGTCTTTATCTTCAGGATGATAGTAAAATTATTGCTAGAGTTTCATCGTTGCATCTGGACACAGCAACATTCTTAGAAAGAGGAGGACATATCCCTCTTTAAGAATGAGAAAAATCTATCTCAGGAGCCTTCCAGCTGACTATTTTATTGGCCAAAATGAAGTTGTATGCCCTAATTAAAACCAATCACTGCTAAACTGAGTGGAAGGCCATGAATAAATTAGACTATATGGAACAGATTTAGTGTAAGTACCATAACCACTTTTGAAGGTATTTGTGAGAAGACATTTGAGAAGAGATGAGATATGAATCATAAAAAGAGGCAAATATGTGATGACTTGAGAGTGAGAAGATGTTATAGGTAAAGGAAACACCAAGAGTAATTTTTTGGAAGCCGAAGAGGAAAATAATATCAATGAAATGTGAGTATTTGGTTATGTTAAATGCCAAAAATTTAAGTTAATGGTCTCTCACCACAAATGGACCTTACTGCTGGCCTACAACCCTATTGTATTAATTTGTTTTCTCTCCTAATTTGGAGATTATTAGTCCACTCTCTCACAGCTGATGATCTTGTTTCCTGTTTCAGTGAGAATATTAGAGCAACACAAATAGAATCTCCACAGCTCTCACCATCAATCCTTACTTTCAACTACTTGCATCTCTGACTATGTAGTCTTCTTCCTCTCCTGTTTTTATCAATGACCTGTTGAAACTCTAATTTAAGGTCAGTCACCATAGATGTGCATTGGATCAAATCCTCTGTTGCCTATTTAAACAAATTGCTTCAACAGTCTTCCCCTATCTTCTGTCATTAGCTTTTGTATCTTTACTGTACATTCTTATCACCATTAAAATGTGTAATTGTTACTGCTACTTAAAAAGTTATTTCCTGACCTTATTTCAGCCTCCAGTTCCTATTCCTTTTTTATCTTTCCCCTTCCAAAAAACTCTTTAGGGGAGCTGTTTTTAATCAATGTCTCTAATTAAGCCATTGATTGATCTCTAATCAGCTATTTGTCCCACAACTGTACCAAATTTCCCTTACCAAGGTAACCTATCACACCATGCTGCTAAATGCAATGGCAAGTTTCTCAATTCTTACTGAAGTATTCAGAAACATTTGACATAGTTTAAGCATCCACATCATGCAAATTTTTCTTCACTTGACTTGTATGACACCAAATGTGTCTGGTTTTTCTTCTACAGCTCTAGCTGTTGCTTCTATTTTCAATTATGCTGGGTTCTCATCATATCCCCAAGGTCTTTTTCTGTTTCACGCAATCTGTTTTTCCCTGAGATGTAATTCATGTATCACAAAATGCATCTGCTTAAGGTGAACAATGAAGTGGTTTCAGTATATTCAAAAAGTTGAGCAACCATCAGTACTATTTAACTCCAGAACACATTTCCTCATCCCTAAAAGAAATCTTTTGCCAACAAAAAGTCACTACTCTACATCCCCCGGTCCAAACCCTATGCAACCAATAATCTTCTTTCTGTTACAGATTTACAAATTGTGGATGTTTTATATAATTGGAATCACAATATGTGGTCTTTTGTGATTGGCTTCTTTCATTTATCATAACGTTTACAAGGTTAATTCATGTTGTAGCATGTATGATTAGGTTGGTGCAAAAGTAATTGTGGATTTGGACCATGAATTTTAAATCATTATAACTAGGCTTAAGCACACTTTTATTAATCAAAATAGAAACCATTACAATCAGCTCATTTTTGCCAACAAGAAATAAGTATGTTTATTCCTGTAACATAAAAATCTGTGCTTTGGGATTCAATGAACTCTTGGAAGGCATTTTCTGCATCTTGCTGGTAGAGGAAGCATTTTCCATGCAAAAAGTTGTCGAGATGCTTGAAGAAGTGGTAGTCAGTTGGGGAGAGGCCAGTTGAATATGATGGATGAGGCAAAACTTTGTAGCCCAATTCGTTAAACTTTTGAAGCTTGGTTGCACAAGCTGCAGTTGAGTGTTGTCATGGAGAAGAATTTGGCCTTTTCTGTTAACCAATGCCTGTTGCAGGCATTGTAGTTTTCGGTGCATCTCATCAATTTGCTGAGCATACTTCTCAGATGTAATGGTTTTGCTGGGATTCAAAAAGCTGCAGCAGATGAGACAGGCAGCAGATCAACAAACTGACCATGACCTTTTTTTGGTGCAAGTTTGGCTTTGGGAAGTACTGTGGAGTTTCTTCTCAGTCCAACCACTGAGCTGGTGGTCACCGGTTGTCATATAAAATTCACTTTTCATTGCACATCACAATCCAATAGAGAAATGGTTTGTTGTTGCGTAGAATAAAAGAAGATGACACTTCAAAACAATTCTTTTTTATTTTTGCCCAGCTCATGAGGCACACACTTGTCGAGTCTTTTCACCTTTCCAATTTGCTTCAAATGCCGAATGACAGTAGGATGGTCGACGCTGAGTCCTTCAGCAACTTTTCATGTAGTTGTAAGAGGATCAGCTTCGATGATTGCTCTCATTTGGTCATTGTCAACTTCTGATGGCTGACCACTGTGCTCCAAATCGCCAAGGCTCTCATCTTCCTTGCAAAACTTCTTGAACCACCACTGTATGTTCATTACCAGTTCCTGGGCCAAATGCGTTGTTGATGTTGCGATTTGTCTCCACTGCCTTATGACCTATTTTGAACTTGAATAAAAAATCACTCAAATTTGCTTTTTGTCTAACATTATTTCAATAGTTTAAAATAAATATAAAATAAACTGCAAGTAATAAGTCATTAGCAAAAAAACAAAGCGAGAAATGTGCATTAAAATAATGTATAACATAACAACACTTATTTAAAAATGTATTCCAATATCAAATCACAGATTTCAACAATGCAAAAATCACAATTACATTTGCACCAACCTAATAGTAGTTTATCACTATTAAGGCTGAATAATATTCCATTGTATGGAAAAACAACATTATGTTTACCCATTCCTCTGTTGATAGAAATTTGTGTTATTCCCACTTTTTAAATTATGAGTAATGCTGCTGTGAATATCCACATTCAAATTTTTGTGAGGGTCAGGCATGGTGGCTCATGCCTATAATCTCAGCACTTTGGGAGGCCAAGGTGGGAGTATTGCTTGAACCCAGGAGTTAGAGACAAGCTTAGACAGCAAAGTGAAATCCCATCTCTACAATAAATAAATAAATAAAATAGGGAGCAAGGTGGCATGTGCCTGTGTTCCCAGCTATATTGGAGGCTGAGGCAGGATGATTGCTTGAGTCCATGAGGCCAAGGCTGCAGTGAGCCATTTTTGTACCACTGCACTCTAGCCTGTGTGACAGAGTGAAACCTGGTCTCAAAAAACAAA
This sequence comes from Homo sapiens, assembly GCF_000001405.40. NCBI lineage: Eukaryota > Metazoa > Chordata > Mammalia > Primates > Hominidae > Homo > Homo sapiens. The sequence goes on from NC_000024.10 coordinate 5,752,179, forward strand.
ACAAAACAAAACAAAAAACAAAAACCAAAAATGTGGATAAATGGAATTAGTTCTCTGGGTACATACCTAGGAGTGCAATACCTGGGTCAAATAGTAACTTCCTATCTAATCTCTGAAGAACTGCCAAACACTAATTTTCAAAGTGGCTGTACCATTATATATCCCCACCAGCAATGCATAAGGTTCACATTTCTCTACATTTTCACTAACATGTGATATTGTCAGTCTTCTTGATTATAGCCACCCTAATGAGTTTTATGTGGTCTCTCGTTGTGTTTTTGACTTTCATTTCCCTACTGATTAAGAGTGGTCAGCATTCTTTTATGTGCTTATTGGCTATTTGTACATCTCCTTTGGATAAATTTATGTTCAAATTCTTTGTTCATTTTTAATTGGATTATTTGAATGTTTATTGCTGAGTTGTAAGAGCTATTTATATACTCTAGACACAAAATCATTATAAGATATATGACATGCATTTTTCTTTATTCTCTGGTTACATTTCGTGTTCTTAAAAGTGTCCTTTGAAACAGAACATTTGCTTTAGTTTATGTGCAGTGGAAATATCAATATTTTCTCTGGCTGCTTGATCTTTGATCTTTTTGAAAATTGTTTTCTACAAACTATCTTTTTAAAAACATTCATAAGAACTTTAAAATAAGCTTTTAATTTTTTTGCCAAAAATAATGCCAGCTTAAATTTTGTTAGAGACTTTGTTCTAACTATTGATCACTTTGGGGAATATTGACCATTTTAACATGTCTTATGATCAATTAAGCCTTCTGATCAATAAACATGGGATGTATTTCTTTTTAGCTATTTTACAAAATTTTTCTTTCAATGATGTTTTGTAGTTTTCATAGTGCCAATTTTGTACACCTTTTGTTAAACTTATTCCTAGATATTTTATTGTTTTTGATGCCACTACAAATGAAATTATTTTCTTAATTTTATTTTTAAGTTTTTAATAGCTAGTGCATAGATATACCATTAACTTCTATGTATTGGTCATGTATCCTGCAATCTTGCTAAACTTCTTTATGAGTGTGTGTGTGTGTGTGTGTCTGCGTGTGTGTGTGTGTATAATTTTTTTATATATACAAGGTTATATCCTCTGCATATACAGATGTTTACTTCTTCCTTTCCAATATGAATGCCTTTTTAAAATTTTTCTAGCCTGTTTTAGTTTGCTGATGCTGCCATCACAAAACACCACAGACTAGGTGGCTCAAACAACAGAAATTTATTTCCTCACAGTTCTGAAGTCCTGAAGTCCACAATCAAGGTGTTGGTAAGCTTTGGATGTATTTGGGGCCTCTTTCCTTGGCTCACAGATGATGGTCTTCTCACTATGTTCTTAACATTTTTTTCCTCAGTGCACAGACATCCCTGGTGTCTCTTTTGTGTTTCCAAACCCCTGCTTATAAGACAAGTCACATTGGAATTGGACCCACCATAATGGCCTAATTTTTAACTTAATTCGTTTTTAAAGTTCCTTAGTCCAAACACAGTCACATTCTGAGGTACTCAAAGTTAGGACTTCAACATATGAACTTGAAGGGTATGCAATTCAGCTGATAATAGTACCTTGCAACCTCTAATACTGAATTCATTTATCAGATTTAGGAATCTTCTGGCAGAATCTTTAGAGATTTCTAGGCATAAAGTCATATTATCAGCCAACAGAAGTAGGTTGACTTCCTACATTTTTTTGTCAGTTTGGATGTTCTTTATTTCTTTCTCTTGCCTGATTGCTCTGGGTAGGACTTTCAGTACTATGTTGAATAGAAGTGCTGAAAGTGGGCATCTTTGTCTTGTTCCAGTTCTGAAGGTAAATGCTTTCACCTTTTCCACGTCAAGTATGATGATGGCTGTGTGTTTGTCATATATGGACTTTATCATTTTATTGTATTATTTTACTTAATTATTTTAATATTTTGAGGTATGTTATTTCTATGTGTAGTTTGTTGAGGGATAAAGAGATGCTAGATTTTATCAAATGCTTTTTCTGGAACTATTGAGATGATCATATGATTTTTGTTTTTAATTCTGTTTATGTGATGAATCATATTTATTGACGTGCATATGTTAAAACATCCCTTCGTCCCTGAAAGGAAATCCACTTGTTCCTGGCAAATTATTTTTTGACATGCTGTTGAATTTCATTTGCTAGCATTTTCTTGAGGTTTTTTGCGTCTATGTTAACCAGGAATGTTTTCTGTAGCTTTGTTTTCCTTCCTTTGTTGTCATTTTCTGATTTTAAGATTAGGGTAATACTGGTTCCTAAAAAGCAGTTAAGGAGGAGTTCCTCCATCTCAATATTTTGAAATAATATCAGTAGCATTGGTAATAATTCTTCTTTAAGTGTCTAGTAAAATTTAGTTCTGAATGCATTTAGCCCTGGGATTCTTTTGTTGTTGGCAGTTTCTGTTTGTTTGTTTGTTTGTTTGTTTGTTTTATTACTGTTTCAATCTCAATGCTTGTTACTGGCTTCTTCAGAATTTCTGTTTCTTCCTAAGTTAAGCTAGGGTGAATTATGTGTTTTCAGAAATCTAACGATTAGCTCTGGATTTTCTAGTTTGTTTGCATAGAGGTGCTCATAGCAGTTCGAATGATCTTTTGTATTTATGTAGTGACATTGTAATGTCTTTATTTTCATTTCTTATTCAGCTTATTTGAATATTCTCTTTTTTTCTTAGTTAATATACCTAGTAATTTGTCAATTTTGTTCATCTTTTCCAAGAACCAGCTTTTGTTCTATTGATCTTTTGCATATTTTGCTTCAATTTTATTTAGTTGTGCTCTGATATGTGTTTTTTCTTTTCTTCTACAAGTTTTGAGTTCGATTTGTTTTTGTTTCTCTAGTTCCTTGAGATGTGAGATGAGGTTGTCGAATTGTTATCTTTCAGACTTTCTGATGTAGGCATTTAGCAATATAAACATTCCTCTTAGCACTGCTTTTGCTATATCTCAGAGGTTTTGATAACTGTGTCAGTTATATAACTCATTTTGAATAGTTTTAAAAATTTGCATCTTAATTTCATTTTTAATTCAATAATCATTTAGGAGCAGATTGTTTAATTTTTATGTATTTGTATAGTTTTGAGTGTTTCTTTTGCAATTGATTTCTAGTTTTATTTTGCTGTGATTTAAGATACTTATCGCTTTAATACATAGTGCTGGGATAACTGGCTAGCCACATGCAGAAGATTAAAACTGAACTCCTTCCTTACACCATATATAAAAACTAACTCAAGATACATTAAAGACTCAAATGTAAAACCCAAAACTACAAAATCCCTGTAAGACAATGTAGGCAATACCATTCAGTTCATAGGCAGGGACAAAGATGTTATGACGAAGATTCTAAAAGCAATTGCAACAAAAGCAAAAATTGTCAAATGGAGTATGATTAAATTAAAGAGCTTCTGCACAGCAAAATAAACTACCAACAGACTAAACAGACATCCTACAGAATGGGATAACATTTTTTCAAACTGTCCATCCTACAAAGGTCTAATATCCAGTGTCTAAACTTAAGCAAATGCACAGGTAAAAAACAACCTCATAAAAAGTGGGCAATGGACAAGAACAGAAAATTTTCCAAAGAAGACATACATGCAGGCAACAATCATATGAGAAAAAGCACAACATCACTGATTATTAGAGAAATGCAAATCAAAATCACAATGAGATACCATCTCACAGCAGTGAGAACGACTATTATTAAAAAGTCAAAAATAACAGATGCTGGCAAGGTTGTGGATAGAAAGAAATGCTCACACACTGTTGATGGGAGGGTAAATTAGTTTAACCATTGTGGAAGACAGTGACAATTTCTCAAAGACCTAAAGACAGAAATACCTTGTGACCCAGTAATCCCATTACTGGATACATACCCAAAGGAATATCAATCATTCTCTTATAAAGACATGCATGTGTATGTTCATTACAGCACTATTCATAATAGCAAAGACATGAAATCAACCTAAATGTCCACCAATGGTAGACTAGATAAAATGATGCATATACCTTATGAAATACTATGCAGCCATAAAAATGAATGAAACCATGTCCAAGATAACAGCTGGAGGCCATTATCCTTAGAAAACTAACACAAGAACAGAAAATCAAATACAGGATGTTCTCACAAGTGGGAGCTCAATGATGAGAATACATGGACATGTAGAGGGAAACAACACACACTAGGGCCTATCAAAAAGTGGAGGTTGGGAAGAGGGAGAAGATCAGGAAAAATAATAATTAATGGTGATATGGTTTGGCTGTGTCACCACCCAAATCTCATCTTGAATTCCCATGTGTGGTGGGAGAGACCCAGTGGGAGGTAAATGAATCATGGGGGCAGGTCTTTCCTGTGCTGTTCTGGTGATAGTGAATAAGTCTCACAAGATCTGATGAGTGTACAAGGGGAAGTTTCCCTGCACAAGCTCTCTTCTCTCTGCCGCCATGTGAGAATGCGCCTTTCACCTTCAGCCATGATTGTGAGGCCTCCTCGGACACGTGGAAATGTAAGTCCATTAAACCTCTTTCTTTTGTAAATTGCCCAGTCTCACCTAGGTCTTTATGAGCAGCATGAAAACAGACTAATATGGTAAATTGTGTGGTACCACTAGAGTAAGGCACTGCTGAAAAGTTACCCGAAAATGTGGAAGGGACTTTGGAACTGTGTAACAGGAATGGGCTGGAACAGTTTGGAGGGCTCAGAAGAAGACAGAAAAATGTGGGAAAATTTGAACTTCTTAGAGACTTGGTGAATGGCTTTGACCAAAATGCTGATAATGATATGGACAATAAACTCCATGCTGAGGTGATCTCAGATGGAAATGAGGAACTTGTTGGGAACTGGAGCAATGATGACTCTTGTTATGTTTTAGCAAAGAGACTAGTGGTATTTGCCCCTGCCCTAGGGTTTTGTAGAACTTTTAACTTGAGAGAGATGATTCAGGGTATCTGGTGGAAGAAATTTCTAAGCATCAAAACATTCAAGGGGTGACCTGGGTGCTGTCAAAGGCATTCAGTTTTAAAAGGGAAACAGAGCATAAAAGTATAGAAAATTTGCACCCCGACAATGGAAAAGAAAAGAAAATCCAATTTTCTGAGGAGAAATTCAAGCTGGCTGCAGCAATTTGCATATGTAAGAAGTAGCCTAAGGTTAATCCCTAAGAAAATGGAGAAAATGTCTCCAGGGCATTTCAGAGGGCTTCACAAAGACCCTCTCATCATAGACCTGGAGGCCTAGGAGGAACAAGTGGTTTCATGGGCCAGACCCAGAGTCCCTGTGCTGTGTGCAGCCTAGGGAATTGGTGCTCTGTGTCCCATTCACTCCAGCTGTGGCTGAAAGGGGCCAACATAGGGCTTTCACTGTGGCTGCACAGGGTGCAAGCCTCAAGCATTGGCAGCTTCCATGTGGTGTTGAGCCTGCCAGTGCACAGAAGTCAAGAACTGGGGTTTGGGAACCACCACCTACATTTCAGATATATGGAAACACCTTGGAGATCTGAAGAGTATATAAGGGGGAGTTTCTTTTCTCTTTTCTTGCTCTCTTTTCTTGTCTGCCTCTATGTTAGAAGTGCCTTTCAACTTCTGCCATGATTGTGAGGCCTCTCCAGCCACGTTGAACTCTAAGTCCATTAAGCCTCTTTCTTTTGTAAATCGCCCAGTCTTGGGTAGGTCTTTACCATCAGTGTGAAAATGGACTAATAAAAATGGGTACTAGGTTTAATACCTGGGTGATGAAATGATCTGTACAACAAACCCCCATGACACATTTACCTATGTAACAAACCTGAACGTGTATCCCTGAACTAAAAGTAAATCTTTAAAACAATATTCTTTTCCCTTATAATTTTGAAATAAAAATAGAATATTTCTATAAAAAATTTTGATTTTGAAGAATTTATTGAGGCTTGTTGTGTGTCCTTTAATATGGTTTGTCTTGGAGAATGTTCTGTGTGCTGATGAGAAAAATGTATATTCTACAGTACTTGAATATAATGATCTGTAAATGTTTGTTATAGCCAGTTGTTCTAGAGTACAGGTTAAGTCCAATGTTTCTTTGTTGACTTTCTGCCTTAATTATCAACCTCATGCAGTCAATGGAGTGCTGAAGTCCCCCACTGTGATTGTGTTGTGGTCTCTTTACTCAGGTCTAGTAGTAATTGTTTTATGAATCTGATAGCTCAGAGATTAAGTGTATATATATTTATAATTGTGATATCTACTTATCAAGTTGATCCTTTCTTCATTATATAATGATCATCTTTGTCTTTTTTTTTTAACTGTTGTTGCTTTGAAGTCTGTTTTATCTTACAAAAGAACAGCTATTCCTGCTTATTTTTGGTTTCAATTTGTGTGAAATATCTTTCTCCACCCCTTTGCCTTGAGTATATAAAAATCCTTATGTCTTAGGTACATTTCCTGAAGAAAGCAGATATTTGGTTTACGTATTTTCAGCTAGTCTATCTGTATTTTTTTAATGAAATATTTAGACCATTTAAATTCTACATAAATACTGAGCTCAGAGGTTCCATGCCAGTCATCATGTTGATTTTTACCTAGTAACTTCGTTTTCTTCATTGTGGTATTGTTTTAAGACTGGTAGTTTTTATGCTTTCAGGAGTTTTTATTCTGGTGTGTATTGACCTTTTATTTGAAGATGTAGAACTCCTTTTAGAATTTATTGTAAAACTGATATAACATTGACAAATTTCCTCAGTATTTGCTTGTCTGAGAAAAACTTTATTTCATCTTCATTTATAAAATAGTTTTGCTGGATACAAAATTCTTGGCTTACAGTTATTCAGTTTAAGGAGATTAAAGATAGGACTACAATCACTTCTGGCTTGTAAGGTTTCTGCTGAGAAGTCTGCAGTTAGTCTGATAGTTTTCCTTTTAGGTTACCTGGCGTTTTTGTCTCATTGCTCTTAGAATTCTTTCTTTCACATGGATTTTAGATAGCCTGATAACTGATAAGATAGCTTGTGATGCCCTTTTCTCAATAAGTCTCACAGGAGTTTAAGCTTCTTATATTTGTGTGTCTAAAAACTCTAGGGAGACGAGGAAAGTTTGTCTTAATTATTTCCTCAAATAGGTTTGTCAAACATTTTGCTTTTTCTTTTCCCTAAGAACACCTATAATTCTTAGATTTGGGCATTTTACATAATCCCATTTTTCTTGCAGATGTTGTTAATTTCTTTTAATTCTTTTTAAAAATTTTTTTGTCTGTTTGCATTAATTTGAATGCCTTGTCTTTGATCTCTGAAATTTCTTCTTCTACTTGTTCTAGTTGAATGTTAAAACTTTCCATTGCAGTTTGTATTTCCCTAATTGTTTCTTCTATTTCCAGAAGGTCTGATTGGTTTTTCTTCAAAGTAGCTATCTCTTTAGAAAATTTTTTATTTGGATCCTGAATTAAAAAAAAAAATTCTTTAAGTTGGTTTTAACCTTTCTCTTCTGTCCTCAAGTAAGTTAGTAACCAAACTTTTGAATTTTTATCTGGTATTCCAAATATTTTATTTTGATTTGGATCTACTGCTGGAGAGTTATTTGGGGAGAAGGAATTATATAGGATCTTGTTTTTTCATATTGCTAGAAATACTTATTTGGTTCCTTCTCATTTGGGTAAACCTTTTCTTTTCATTATTTTGAATTTATTTTTTATTCAACTAGGTTTTCTATTTTTTTCCCCTTGAGGATGTGACATTAATGTTTATAGTTTATTGTCACCTAGTTTTGACTCTGGGTGATTTCATTGGAGAAGTCTCAATTTGAGTTCCTTAGTTATAGACAAATTTTGTGTCATGTCTTCTCTGACGCTGGTTGTGTTAGTGTTATGCTGGGTGTACGAGAAGGTTCACTGTCTCCTGTTTGGCTGAAGTGGCAGAGGCCTCATGAAGCTTATCTTGTTTCCCAGTGGTGTGCATTTTTAACCTTTTTCCCCAATATTTTTTTCACTGGGTTGGACAGTTCAGAACTCAGGCCAGTAGGAGTTGCCCAAGGATAAAACTCAGCAGTGGCTAAAGCAGGTGAGTAAATGCAAATACCCCAATGGTGGGAAGAGGTCCCAGCTTTTAGAGATGTTGCTATGAAAATTCTCAGTAAAATGCAATGTGGTATTTTAAGGGGGAAGAGAGGAAGCTACCGCAGCTCTTCTTCCAGGCCTCAGAAAAACAATTTGCCTCTCAATTACATTCCTGATCAGTGTTCTGGCTATTCAGATAAGGCAGGCACCTCTATTCATCTATAGGAAGGCTGCTGTTCCATGAAGATAGAGATTTTGCCTTTACCTATAGTGCAAGCTGAACCTGTAAGGCACATTTCCTTTGGGGATGCAGTCACCCTGAAGTGATCCAGAAAGGCTGCCTGCAGATGGGCCCATGACAATTTCCCATGGTAGACACCTGAGTTGTAACTGCAGTGGTGGGTAAGGGGGAGAATAAGTCTCCTCCTCCCAGATCCTACACAAGAATGATGGGTGCTTAACTGTTGGAACCAAACCACAGTCTTTTCCCACTGAGCCCAGCATTGCACTTGTGCCTCCACTGAAGAAAACTTCCCACACATGGAAAATTCAGAGATGCAAAGCCTTTGGTCTGGTTTCTTTTATCCAATTGGGTGCTCCCTTAATGTGGTATTCTCCCCATTCACTAGGATTAGCAGTCCCTGAGTGCAAGACTACTGTGAATCCTGTTGCTTCTCTGGGCCTAGCTACCCAGTTGGGCTGCCACACTCTAGGCCAGTGCTGAGAAATGTCTGCAAGGGATCTGGTGATGTGACCTGTCCTCAAGTCTCCCAGCAGTGTTTACAAGCACCCTCTCTGATGCAGGTTGGAGGTGAATGATGTAGACTCTCAGATTTCCTTAATTATAAATAGCCTTAGCATGCTGGCTTTCTCAAATGCCAGCAGTAGTAGTATTCACATGCAGACTCAAGATCTCTTGTTCATCAGGGTGATGCAGGCATTGGAAATAGCTGAGGTTATGCAAATGTCTTCTTCTTGAGTGCTGTGTTACTGTGCCTGCAGATGTAATGGGCTTTGCTGGTTGGCCTCTAGCCAGGAGGTGGCAGGTGCAAAAGAGGACCACCTACACCGAGAACAGTAGAATGTGTTCTTGCTTCATGTTACCCACGGGAGGTACTCTGGTGCCTCAGGCAATAAGCAGGGCAATGGATATCCCAAATATCCCCGTCCATCATGTTACACTACCAGGGTGGTGAAGGGACAAAGCTGGGTTGGGGGTGTGTCAGGCAGGGCTGTCCTCTGGCTCCCAACGTGCAGCCACAAGCAGTTGTCCTAATGGAGATTAGATGGCAGTTCCCTGGCTGCTGGAGTAATGTTCCAGGGAGGAGCACAACTACCTCTGTTGCACGGAAGAATCTGCACTAAGAGCAGGGTACAGCAGGTGGCAGTAAGCCCCACTCAGCTACTACACACTTGGCAGGGCAGTTCTCATATCCAGAGTTATGCCAACAACAGCTATCTGGATTCCAGGTAGCCTGAGCTCAGAACTCAAAACTGCCCCAGGCCATAAGCCTTTTCCCAGGAAGACTGAAACTGTGGCTTCAGGCCATGCCGCTCTCTATATGCCCATGAAGCAGTGACACCCAGGGTCACGGAACTCCTGCACCTATGGCTGTAGCACACTTCCTGCTCTCCCCTCGGTTCTGGCCAATGGTATTCATCCCCACTCAAGATTACATCGCAAATCTCTTGTTGGGAGTGTCTCTGGACTGCAGCCTGAGCTAGCTGGCAGACTTCCATGAGGTCCCCTGAGAGGTAGGAACAGAAATGGCTTCTCTCCATCCTCACTGGATTCTAAGAGTGCAAACAAAGCATGCTGCTTCTCATATATTCTCCACTGTTCACTAAATCAGTTCCAGTGTGGGATAGAGTTATGGCCTTCCCGCATGGCCAGGATTGCCCAGCTACTTTGTGGGAGTGTATGTCATAGCAGCAGTGTCTCCATATTTCATGCAGTGGAGACTCACGGTTTTCCTTCTGGTTCATATTGTAGGCTGCTGCCTGCTGCTTCTTTCAAAGAGTCTGTGGTTTTGTTCAGTTTTTCTGTTAATTTCTTGTGTTGCTTCTTGGAAAAAATTTCAAAACATGAACCTGTACACACTATTTTGTTTTACAAGTGAGAGAGGCATGCTAACAATACTGCTAATCTGACCCCTTGGGGATGAAAAACCCTATCTTTGCTGTTTTATTTGATTCTTCAATCAATTTACAATCATTGATTTTATTGATCTAATTCGGTTTATATCTGGCATTTAACTTGATGTTTTCTATATGTTTCATCTTTTTTTTGTGGCTCTGTTCTTTTTTTTACTACATTGTTTGGCATTCAGTAAATATTGTCTGTTGTAACATTTTAGTTCCTTTAATGATTTTTTCAATACATTTTTGAGTATTTTTAGTAGTTCCTCTAGAGTTTACTATACATCCTAACTTATGAAAATCTACTTCAAATTTATACAAAATAAGTTAAAAATAGAAATAGAAATGTTATTCCTATAGAACTCTATTATTTTCCCCACATTTTGTACTATTATTGTTACTACATCTATGTTATAAATCCAAAAATACATTGTTACAATTTTTACTTTATATGATTTTATGTCTTTTAAAGAAGAGAGACGAGAATAGAATACATCTTTAAAGAGTTCACTATATCAACTTTCTTATCAAAATTTCTGCTTCCTTTCATTTGTTCCTGTGGGTGTGAGCTACCACCTTGGTGTTCTCCCCTTAATTCAATGCAACTTTGCTCCTACTCACCTGCTTTGTGCTGCTATTGGAAAATATGTTGAATTTCTACATATTGTAGAACAATAATTTATATACATTTTTATGCAATTGTTTTTTAAAACTATTAAGAAAAGAAGAAATATGCTATTATACTTTCTTTTACAATATGTACATAGTTACCTTTACCAGCACTCTATATGCTTTAAAATTAATTCGCATTTCTTCCTGGAGTCACTTGCTTGCAGACTGAAGAATTTCTTTAAGTATTTTTTTTAGGTGAGACTGCTAGTAGCAATTTTTTTTTTTTTGAGACAGAGTTTTGTTCTTATTGCCCAGGCTGGAGTGCAATGGCATGATCTTGGCTCACTGCAACCTTTGCCTGCCGGGTTCAAGCGATTCTCCTGCCTCAGCATACCAAGTAGCTGGGATTACAGGCACGTGCCACCACGCCCGGCTAATTTTGTATCTTTTGTTTTTAGTAGAGGCAGAGTTTCTCCATGGTGGTCAGGCTGGTCTCAAACTCTCAACCTCAGGTGACCCACCTGCCTCGGCCTCCCAAAGTGCTGGGATTACAGGCGTTGAGCCGCTGTGCTTGGCCAGCAATTTTTTCTTTTAGTTTCTGTTTATCTGGGAATATTGTTACTTTGCCATTATTTTCATAATATAGTTTTGCTAAGATTTAAAATTCCTGGTTGATAGCATTTTTTTAGCACTATAAATAAATCATTCCACTTCATTGTTTACAGTGAGTATTCAGCTGTTAATCTTTTTGGGGTTCCCCTATACATGATGAGTTTTCTTTTGCTGCTTTCAAGATTTTCTCTTTGCATAGGGCTTTCAACAGTTTCGCTATTATGTGTGTGGGTGTGAATCTTTGGGATACACCATTCAGAAGAAAATGTTACCTTGCAACATTTAATTGAATGTTCACCAGATTGTTTTCCATCAAATTTGGGAAGTAAGCCTCAACTTCCCATTTGATTCCTTTATTGGGTTTAACAATACTCAAAGGCATAAATTGCTCCACTGATTGATTAAATTACATGCTGTTCCCTTTACAGGTATAGTTTTTGAGGATGGTCTTTGACGTTTCTTATAATCCCAGGAAGTGTCTTATTAGCTACCATTTTCTCTGGTTGTCTGGTAAAGTTCTACATGGTCTACAGTTTGTCTTGTTGCTCTCATGGAGCCAAAAGTTTCCTCTTAATTGCTTATGACCAAACTTTCCATTACCTTAACTTACCCTTAGGCTTGAACTTCTACACAGTCTGTTCTAAATATAGTCTTATAACTTTGGATGAGCTTCACAGTTTTCTGTTCTTACAACCTGCCTCCTTCCCTGTGTACAATTTTTGAGCCACTTCTCCAGAACTTGCTATGATGACAGTGACTCATTACTACCATAGAGGCACACCTGCTTTCTGACCAAGGTGGTAGGTGGTAGCTTCTGATTATCTCAGTTTGCCTTCTTTAGTGTGAAATCCTCACTTTAGGAGTAATTTGAAGTGAAGACAAATGGACCCCGGTATCCTTCATCTTCCACACCTGGAGAAGAGCTTATATCTTATGAGTGGTGACTGGATAGTAGAAGAGAGCCTCAGAACTTTTAGATGCTATTGTTTGGAATAGAGCATCTGTATGTAACACAGAGCTGAGAGAAAAAGAAATGGTGGTGGGCTCCTCATCCCTGGAATACACTGTAACTCTAGACTGGAAGTTGAGGGAGAGAGAACCCTGAGTTCTTGGGCGACCCCACCATAAGTATGCCTCCTGTTATTATAAGCTGGAATTGAGGTGAGGGAGTGGGTTATAGTTCAAATGCCACAAGCATGGTCTGTTCTTGCCAAGATTTAGTAAATTTTCTTGAAAAAAAATTTTTGTTTTCAAACTTACAGTATGCCTCTAGAATAATTTTCAGACACTTTAAATATTTGTTATTAAATAATTTATACCAGTTATGGTTCTTGTTTTGGGGAAAACTTCTCACACTACTGTTTTGGAACTAAATTCTCTAAAATTTGTTTTTAAAATTTGAAGAAATGGCAAGTGAAAACAAAAGTTAATTCTTGAAAAATAAGAATGAAATAGGAAACTCTGAAGAGTAAGATAAGAAAAACAGTTAAAAACATGTCAAATAAGGGATGAGAAAGACAATATACTCACAGATTTTGAAGTTACTGAAACATTTTAAATGTGGAACATTATTCAAGAAATTTTGAAATCTGGAGGAAATTATTTTATTTCAAATATAAATTACCAAAATTGACTTTAAAATATTCTACACAAAGCTGAAGTAACTAAAAACAGCATAGTACTGATATAAAAAGAGACAAATACACCAATGGAACAGAATAGAGAATCTAGAAATAAATCCATGTGTTGACAGCCAACTGACTTTTCACAATGGCACCAAGAACATACATTATGGAAAGGACAATCTTTTTAATAAATGGTGCTAGGAAAACAAGAAATCCATACGCAGAAGAATGAAACTAGACTCCTGTCTCTCACCTCATACAAAAATCGACTCAAAATGGATTAAAAAGCTGGGTGCAGTAGCATAAGCTTGTAGTCCCAGCTACTCAAGAGATTGAAGCAGGAGAATCACTTGAGCCTAGAAGCTTGAAGCTGTAGTGCTCTATGATTGTACTTGTGGCTGGCTAGTCACTGCACTGCATTCTGAGCAACAGAGTGTGACCCCATCTCTCATCTCTAAAAATATTTAAAAAATGGATTAAAGACTTAACATGAGAATCAAAACTATAAAACAACTAGGAGGACACATAGGTAAAATGCTTTAGGACACTGGTCTGGAAAAAAAAATGTCTGAATAAGACCTCAGAAGTACAAGCAACAAAAGGGAAAACTGACAAATGGGGTTACATCAAACTAAAACACTTCTGCACAGCAAAGGAAACAATCCACAGAGTGAAGGCAAAACCTGAAGAATAGAAAAAAATATATTTGCAAAATATTTATCTGACAAGAGATTAATATTCAGGATATAAACAGAACTCAACAGCAAAAAATACAAATAATTCAATTATGAAATACACAAATAATCAAATAGACATTTCTCAAATGAAGACATACAAATGACCAATAAGTATATTAAAGAATGTGCAACATTCTTAATTATCAGGAAATGCAAATCAAAACTGCAAGGAAAAATTATCTCGACACAGTTAGAATGGCTATTATCAAAGACAAAAACTAACAAATGCTGATGATAATATGGAAAAACAGGAATGCTTTCATACTGTCAGTAGCAATGTAAAATAGTACACCCGACATGGAAAACAATATGGAGGTTCCTCAAAAAAACTAAAACTGGAACTACCATATTAACCAGCAATTCCGCTACTGAGTATGTATCCAAAGGAACAGATATCTGCACTCCCATGTTTATTGCAGCACTCTTCACAATAGCCAAGATTTAGAATCAACCTAAGTGTCCATCAACAGATGAATGGGTAAATAAAATATGGTATATATAGACAATGAAATACTCTTCAGCCATAAGAATAAAATCCTTCATTTGTGGCAACATGGATGGAACTGGAGGACATTATGTTAAGTGAAATAAACCAGGCACAGAAAGATAAATACTGCATATTCTGTCTTATACGTTGGAGGTAAAAAAAAGTTCTCACATTGAAGTAGAAAGTACAATAGTAGTTACTAGATGCTGGGACGGAAAAGAGCAGGAAATACGAAGATGTTGGTTAAGAAAATACAAGTTACAGGTAGATAGGAGGAATAAGTTCTAGAACTCTACAGCCCTGTAGGGTTACTATAATTAACTATAACTTATTGCATTTTGTAGGAGATCTGTCAGGGTAGTGGGAGAAATTGTAGGAAGGGCTTTGCAAAGCTTTGGGGAAGAATGAGCCGAAGGCCCTAGTTCTTATCCTGGGGCAAAGGGCATGAAGTAGGTACAAAAGAATGCAGGGGAGTTTATCTGAATAGCTTATTTACTCATGACTCCAGAAACCTGGCCATTAATCATCCATGCACAATTACCCACAAGTGTATTGACTCAAGGCCTTTGTCATTAAATATATACTGAATAAATGCCCACAGCACCAGCTGGTCAAGGCTGGGCTGCTGACTCTTTACAGCACCCTCCTTGGGGTCTGTAAGCAGCTGGGTCCCCTAGCCCTCTCTTTCACTGGGTATCTGTGTCTGAGTGCATTTGTTCATCCATTGTTTGGCCAGGGTCTGCGGGTCAGACCCGGTAGTTTTGTTTGTTTGTTTTGTTTTGTTTTGTTTTGTTTTTGAGATGGAGTCTTGCTCTGTCGCTCAGGTTGGAGCACAGTGGTGTGATCTCAGCTCACTGCAACCTCTGCCTTCCGGGTTCAAGCGATTCTCCTGCCTCAGCCTCCCAAATAACTGGGACTACAGATGTGTGCCAACACGCCTGGCTAATTTTTTGTATTTTTAGTAGAGACAGGGTTTCACCGTGTTAGCCGGGAGAGTCTCTATCTCCTGACCTCGTGATCTGCCCGCCTCGGCCTCACAAAGTGCTGGGATTATAGGCATGAGCCACCATGCCTGGCCAATTTATTGTATATTTTTAAATAGCTAGAATAAAAGAATTGTCACATTCCCAACACAAGGAAACAGTAAATGTTTGAGGTGATGGAAATGCTAATTCCTCTGATGTAATCATTACACATTGTACGTATCAAAATATTACACTGCATCTCATAAATATGTACAATTATGTGTTAATTAAAATTTTAAAAAATTAATGTGGATCTAAAATCTGGAAAAATTAATTTATTTCACTGCAAATATAATTACCAAAACTGACTGAGGAAATGGTAAAATATCTAGACGTTAAAGTAATCTCAGAAGACAGAGCAAAGGCAATTTAAATGCAATTTAAAACCAATTTCTTTAAAAAGAGATCAGGCTTAGATTATTTTGCAATTCAATTGCATATAACAGTTTGGGCACATAAAACCATAAAACTCCTATTTTTTATTTAGATTTGGTTCATGTACAAAAAAACGCTGTACATATTTTATATATACATCTTGGTGAGTTTGAAGATAAGTATATGCCTATAAAATTATCACCATAAACAATGCCATAAACTTAGTCAAAACCTATAAAAGTTTCCCCTCTTTTTTTGTGATAAGGATATTTAACATAAGATCTACTCTTTTCACCAATTTTTAATTACACAATACAGTATTGATGACTACATGTGCTATTCTGTATAGCAAATCTCTAGGACTTATTCATATAGCCTAACTGAAAGTATGTACTCTTTGACCAACACGTCCCTTATCCACACTATACCCCAGCCCCTGGTAACCACCATTCTATTTTTTGCCTCTATGAATTTGCCTGTTTTAGATATCTCATATAAATGAATTCATATAGTATTTGTTCTTCTGTGTCTGTCTTATTTCACATAGAATGCTATCCTCCAAGTTTATTTACATTGTAGCAAATGGTAAGATTTTGTTCTTTTTTAAGGCTGAATAATATTCCATTTTATGTATAGGTCACATTTTCTTTATCCATTCATCTGTTGATGGATATTTAGGTTCTTTCCATGTCTTGATCATTATAAATAGTGCTGAAGTAAGTGAAAGAATGCAGATATTTCTGTAAAACTCTGATTTCAATTCTTTAGGGTAATATATTCAGAAGTAGTATTCATGGATCATATGGTAGTTCTGCTTTTAATTTTTTGAGAATCCTTCATAGTAGCTATACTAATTTACATTCATACCAATAGTGTACAAGGGTTTGTTCTCTCTACATACTCGTCAACATTTATTTTATTTTCCTTCTTTTATATTTAATAATAGCCAACCTAAGAGATGTGAGGTGATTTTTTCTTATGGTTTTGGTTTGCATTTTCCTGTTGAGCAGCATCTCATATACTGTTGTCCATTTGTATGTCTTTTTTGGAGAAATGTTTATTCAGGTGTCTTACTAATTTTTAAATAAGTTTATTGGTTTTATATCTGCTACTAAGTTGTAGGAGTTTCTTATATATTTTGGATATTAAGCCTTTATCAGATATATGGCTTGCAAATATTTTCTCCCATGCCATAGGTTTTTTTTTTAATTATTATTTTTCTTTATTTTGCTGGATGTTTCTTGTGCTGTGCAGAAGCTGTTAAGTTTAATGTACTTCCCTTTGTGTATGCTTTTGTTTCCTGTGTTTTTGGTATTATATCCAAGAAATCATCGCTAAGGCCAATGTCAACACGCTTTTCCCTTGTGTTTTCTTCTAAGAAAACTTCCACATTATCCAAACTCATTCCATCTGTAAGAAACTATTTAAAATCTCCATAATTCATCATATGAAACTAAAAAAATTTTTCTACTTAAAACTAAAAACAGTAGTGCAAAATAAGAAAATGGTAGCAAATGTAATTAAAAATGTAAGTGAAAAAATTTAAAACAAATCTTAGTCAATCAAATTGAGTAATAAATGAAGAGAATAATACCATGATGTCTGAATATGTTTTATTTCTTAAATGCAAAATTTGGTGTTTTTTTTAAGAAAATCTGTCTAAAGAATTCACTCTATCAATAAATTTAAGGGGAAATATATGATTGCATCAATAGATGTCAAAATAAACATTCAACTAAAATAAAAATTTAGGTACAAATTAAAAGGAACTGTGAAAATTGATAAATACATTTTGCCACAAAACTAGGAGCAAACATAGTTTATAATGCAATACGAATTTTCATTGCTGTCAGAAAAAGATTGATAGCTGCCATCCTCAGTATTATTCAACAATATTTTTGGAGATTTTAGCTGATGCAATGCAATAAGCAAATGAAACATTCAGTATAAATGTTGAAAAAATTTTTAAACACTCAAAAATAAAAGTATTCTAGTAATTCAAAAGACACTTCTTTCTGTTATTAGAATTAAGACAATTTGATGGTACAATTATTATTAATTTTTTGTGATCAAATTTTTATCATAAAAAATCAATATATACATTTTTGTATACTACCCTACTAAAAACAGAAGAAAAATATCTCATTCACACTAATAACACCACCATCAAATACTTTGTAATAAATTTCAAAAAAATGGGACAAAATCTACGTGAATCTATAAAATTTAATAGAAAACATAAAAACAAATCTGTCTAAATGGAAGAACAAGCCATGGTCTCAGATGAGAAGATATAATACCATCAAAATATGAAGACCTTGTAATGTAATACATTTCTTTACTGCATCCAGTAATAATAACTCCCAAAGGAGTTATTATTTTGGGAATCTTCATAAAAATATTATTCTTTTTATTTTACTTTAAGTTCTGAGATACATGTGCTGAATGTGCATGTTTGGTACATAGGTATACATGTGCCATGGTGGTTTTCTGCACCTATCAACCCGTCATTTAGGTTTTAAGCCCCATATGCATTAGGTATTTGTCCTAATGCTCTCCCTCTCCTTTTCCCCCACCCACTGACAGGCCACGTTGTGTGATGTTCCCCTCCCTGTGTCCATGGGTTCTCATTGTTCACCTACCACTTATGAGTGAGAACATGTGGTGTTTGGTTTTCTGTCCCCATGTTAGTTTGCTGAGGATGATGGTTTCCAGCTTCATCTATGTCCCTGCAAAGGACATGAACTCATTCTTTTTTATGGCTGCATAGTGTTCCATGGTGTATATGTGCCACATTTTCTTTATCCAGTCTATCATTGGTGGGCTTTTGGGTTGGTTCCAAGTCTTTGCTATTGTAAATAGTGCTGAAATGAACATACATGTGCATGTGTCTTTATAGTAGAATGATTTATAATCCTTTGGGTATACACCCAGTAATGGGATTGCTGGATCAAATGGTATTTCTGGTTTTAGATCCTTGAGGAATTGCTGCACTGTCTTCCACAATGGTTGAACTAATTTACACTCCCACCAACAGCGTAAAAGCATTCCTATTTCTCCACATCCTTGTCAGCATCTGCTGTTTCCTGATTTTTTAATGATCGCCATTCTAACTGGCATGAGATGGTACCTCACTGTGGTTTCAATTTGCATTTTTC
Organism: Homo sapiens; assembly: GCF_000001405.40. NCBI lineage: Eukaryota > Metazoa > Chordata > Mammalia > Primates > Hominidae > Homo > Homo sapiens. The sequence continues at coordinate 5,770,990 of NC_000024.10, forward strand.
TAATGACCAGTGATGATGAGGGTTTTTTCATGTTTCTTGGCCACATGGGCAAATACTTCATAACTAAAACACCATAAGCAATTGCAACAAAAGCCAAAATTGACAAATGGGATGTAATTAAACTAAAGAGCTTCTGCTCAGCAAAAGAAACTATCATCAGAGTGAACAGGCAACCTTACAGAATGGGAGAAATTTTTTGCAATCTATTCATCTGACCGAGGTCTAATATCCAGAATCTACAAGGTACTTAAACAAATTTACAAGAAAAAAGCAAATAACCCCATCAAAAAGTGGGTGAAGCACATAAAATTACTTTAAAATTCAAGCAAATATTTTCTTAAAAATAAGATTAATAAGGAGAGAGAATTGCCTCACCAGATGTAAAAATTTACTATACAAATATAGTCCATGTGATATGATATGACTCTGAGACAGAAATAGAAAAATAGAACTTTGAAAGTTAAAGATTAGAGGGAAATAGATCCAAGTACATATATAATGTTAGGATTAAGCTTTACTCCAAGAGACCCAAAATACCAGTGGCTTTAAAAAGAAAATGTTGCTTTCCTCATTCATCTGGAGAAAAAAATTAAGTCTGGTATGCAATGCTGCTGTGTCAGTGATATTGACTCCTTCTATCTTTTTTTTGTTATATTGTGTGGTCTCAATTCTCGAGGTCATTCATGATCCAAGGCAGCTGCTTCTGTTTCATTCATCCCACCTGGATTACAGTCTGCAAGAAAGAAAAAAAGGAAAAATAAGGGCAAAACTCCATCCTTTTAAGGTCACTTTCAGAGAAGTCTACATGCTCACCTAGAATTTGTCTTAGCCATATGTAGTGCAAGATCAGCCCGAAATGAAATATTTATTTTTAGGCAGTCATGTGCCTTGCTGACAAGTAGAGGATATCAAACTATAAAAGAAGGGGAGAACAGATATTGATAGACAACTATCAATCTCTTACACATGTATGACACGGTTAGCATTTCAATTCTGTGGGGAAAATGCAGTGATCATCAACCTTGAACATGCATCAGAATCACTCTCTCCCTTGCTGGCTTTTAAGAAGAAAGCTGCCATGTTGTGAGCTGTCTTATGGAGAGAGCCACATGGGAATAAACTGAAAGCATCCTCTGACTGAAAGTCAGAAAGAAATTGAAGCTCTTAGTCTAACAGCCTGCAAGAAACTGCATATTGCTGAAAACCATATTAGTTTGAAATCAGACTCTTTCCCAGGTGAGCTTTCAGATGGGAACTCAGTCCTGGCCAACATCATGATTGCAGCCTTGCAGAACACCCAATAAAGCCATGACAAGAACCTTCACCAACAATAACTGAGAGATAATAAATATGTGTTGTTTTAAGTCACTAAGTGTTGGTAATATAGTTAGGTAGCAATAGAAAACTCTATGCTAGATGTTAGTCATACTACTGCTATTTGAGGCCTAATTAGTTATTTAATATATTGTGTCAGCACCCATGGCTATGTGTAACAAGGGAATTCATATATTTCTATAACCTCAAGTTTCCATAGAATATATTCCATGCAGACAACTTTCAGATATATAAACAAATTTATTCTCAATCTATTGCTTATTCATTCTTCTCCTAAGACAAGAAGGTCTCCTAATGGTAGATGGTATCCATTGGTCCATGGTTATTAATTGCATAGAACTAATGGCATATTCTACACCTGCACTGTTTAATGTAATAGTCATATGGCAAACGTGGCTATTTATTTTTAAACCAGGTAAAACTAAATCAAATAAAAATTCAATTCTCTATTTATACTAGACCTTTTTTCTGCACTCCATAGCCACAGGTATCAATGGACTCATTTCCTCATCAAGGCTAGTGGCTATCACATTGGAGACTGGAATTATGGGGCATTTTAATCATTATATAATTTTTTATAGTTCTGGTCTATACTTAGGAGGAGAGGAAAGAGGTATGTAGAGATCTGTAGTTTTCCTCTTATTGTCTGCATTGGTAATAAAGCTGACATTTTCGTCAGTATCTTGTATACTGATACAATATTTTGTATCTAACTTTCAGTTGCTTTCCACCTTCGGGGGAAACAAGAATTTTCATGTAATGATCTCTTAAAATATGCTACTGTTCATTGGAACAAATATATAGCAAGATCCTTAAGTCTTACCGCATATAAAAGCAAGTGCCAAATGGGTTTAATACCTAATAAGAAACAGAATAATATAGAGTATTACATCTATTTTAAGATGCATAATTATTTTTCATATTATAACTCATTTGAAATAGAATGTATCTTACAATCTAATGATGTCTTGTAATTGCTCACGGATAGATGGCAATCATGACATAGTTGCCATTGCCAACACAACTGTCAATTTGATTGTCATTTTGGGTAAAATAACTACATAGCTTCACTCCTTGAAATTTCATTCGGTAAATCATATAAAAACCACTTGATGATGAAATGAGTCCATTGATACCTACTGGTAAGACCAAGAAAAAGAACACATTAAAACTTACAGAATGGGTGCCTGAGTTTCCTAAGAAAATTAAGTAGATAATAGTGAAGTAACTGTTAATGACAAAGGGGTCAGTATTATGTGGCTAAATAATAAATAAATAATAAATCCATGACTGTGAGTTGAAAAAAAAAAAGATTCAGAACAGTTGGACATTTGGTGTAAAGAAATTATAACAGCATTTTTTTGAGACAGAATCTCACTCTGTCACCCAGGCTACAGTGCAGTGGCATGATTATGGCTCACTTAAACCTCATACTTCTGGGTTCAAAGGATTTTCCCACGTCAGCTTTCTGAGTAGCTGGGACTACAGGCACGTGCCTGCATGCTGGGGTACTTTAATCAATTTTCTCCTTATGTTTTTCTTTTCATGAATGTACAGGTGTACATTATAAAAACTATATCTAAATAAGTGTTTTAAAGTCTTTAATAAAGTAATAAATGATAAGAAAGCATTGTATCAGTTGGACTGCCAGTGCCATTTTCTTTCTTTGTGGTACACAAAATGAGATTAATCATAAAACTTATAGTATCTTAGACTAAAATATAAAACATAACAATGATAATGATGGTAATAGATATAATAAGAGTACTAAGTATTAATAGTAGTAGATATAACAGTAAATAGTAATATTAACATTAGGAGGAAATTTAGTAAAATGTTTATATAAACTTAGGATAAGATTGAAGAGAATGATTAGGCCAGTAAGTTAATCCATAATGCATAAAGCATAATATGGAAATTTTGGTTACCTAAATAAATAGCATTTGGTAAAGATACCATAAACAAAGACAAAATATGAAGAATGGACTGAGTAGAAATATTGGAAAAATGAATGACAGAGTAAGATTTAACAACACTAATACAGAGAGCTCCTACAAATTGAAGTGAAAAAAAAAACCAAATAACTGTTAAAATATTCAATTAAGAGGCATTCTTTAAAAAAACCAAAACTGTTCTTTTATTTACAAAGACCATAATCTAGAAATTTCCTTCAGAGAGCAAAGTCCAAAGTCCTAGATAAAGTCTGAGTGCTGTTAGACACCCCAATCACAAGTAAGCAATAAAGGCCAGATACTACATATTTAAACAACCAATGTTTCTCAGTTTTAGGAAGAAAGCAAAAACACTGTTGTTCATTTGATAGGGACTAAAAGGGTGACAAAAGTCTTTTGCCAAAGACTTTACTACTTTACTAAATTTTTCAACTCACTGTAATTTTAAAAATAAAAAATAGTATAATATATATAGGGGAGTGTGGCAAGTTAAATATACCCACAGATTCTTTGATGCTACTGCCATTGAGAGGGAGATCTATAATACTGACTTTGAATTTGGGTGGATTCCCTAACTGCTTTGACCATTACAATACAACAGACGCTATGCTGTGCCAGATTCTAGGCCCAGTCCTTAAAAGATTGGCAGGCTCCACTTCCTGCCCAGCAGAACACTTGCCTGGAGCCCTGAAGTGCTACTCCTGTGCCATGGAGAAGACTCGCACAAGCTCTGAAATGATAGAAACAGCAAGTGAGCAAGCGAGTGAGCGAGAGAGAGAATAACTTAGATATGTGCAGCTTCTAGCCATTGCTGATATTTTGGACCCTCCAGAGATAACCAGCTGTTAGCTGAAAATCACTGAGTGACCTCAGTTGACATCATGTCTCGGTAGAGAAACACTTTTGTGAAATAGTCACTATTTCTGTGGATATTTATAGTGACCAGTAGGTCGCTATATCTCAGGGGGAAGCAGAGTTGTTGAATTTTGTATACACAATGGAATATTATTCAGCCATAAAAGAATAAAATCATGACATTGAAAATAAAATGGATGGAAGTGGAGGACATTATTTTAAGGAAAATAAGCCAGGCATAGAAAGACAAATATGTCATCACTCATACGTGGGAGTTAAAAAAAAAAAATGAACTCATGGAGATAAAGAGTAGAACGACAGTTACCAGAGGCTGCAAAGGGTAGCAGAGAAGGGGGGATAAAGTGGGGATGGCTAATGGGTATGAAAATACAGTTAGATGGAATGAATAAGATCTGGTATTCAGTAGCAAAATAGGGTGACTGTAGTTAACAGTAATATATTGTATAATTTAAAATAGCAAAAAGGGTAGAATTGGAATTTTCCTAACACAAATAAATGATAAATGCTTGAGATAATGCATACCCCAATTACCCTGATTTGGTCATTATATTCCTATATCAAAATATCACACTTACCCCATAAATATATATAACTATTATATACTCATAATAATAATTTAAAAAAAATGTTGGAAATGGGAAGGCTTTCCTAATTTTATTTTATTTGAAATACAAGCCCTAGGATGTATATTAATTCCCTGGAACTGCCATGTCTATTTGGGAAGAAAATGGGATTTTCCAAATTAATAGCACCTCATGTCTCATTTTCTTGTATAATACTGCTTAAAGAGAGCTTTTGTTTCTCAACTTCTAGATAGTCTGTAAAGCATGACCTCTGTAATAGTTTTATTGAAATGCTCAGTCTGAATTGAATCGTGGTGAAACAATTAGGTGTATCCATGTTGTAGGAATTCTAAAAAGTAACTGCCCTGGACTCTTCAAGATGCCAAAAGACACGTACATGTGGAGGAACTATTTCTAATAAAAGGAGCCTAACAACTGTCTTAGTCCATTTGGGCCACTCTAACAAAATACCAGAAACTGGGTGGTCTATAAATAACAGATATTTGTTTCTCAAAGTTCTAGAGACTGGAAAGCACAAGACTAAAGCTCCAGCATATTTAGCGTTTGGTGAGGTTCCACTTTCTGGTTGATAGACGGCACCATCTAGTTGTGTTCTCACATAGTGAAAGGAGCAAATGAACTCTCTTAGGCCTTTTACAAGCTTTTACACTAAAAGCACATGCGAGCTCTGACCTCATGACCTAATCACCTCCCAAAAGGCTCCACTTCCTAATACAATCACTTTGTGGGTTAGGATTTCATCCTATTTGGGGGAGACAAACATTCAGAACAAAGCAAAAACCAAGTGCAATGCCTGTTTATTGATTAGATTCTGGTTTGGGTGTGGGAGGTGACCAGGACTATTTTCTTGACCAAACTTTAATGAGGCTGATCTGAGCTTACTTCTCAACTAGGAAGCCTTGTCCTTGGGCTGAAAAGCCCAGCTTTAGCAAATAATTGTGCTGAGTCAGCTTATTGATAATACCATTACCCTTGATACCTGTGGTATTATATATATACAGTGTGTGTGTATATATGTATTTTGTATGTGTGTGTGTATATATATATATAAAGATTTTTTGTTTATGGTTCCTGGCTCATAATTCCCATAACCCTTGCTATAATTTGGGGACATTTTATGCCTCAGTAGCAAGCCTCGGAAAACAGATTCTGTCTTTCTGACCTTCCATTGCCCTCCCTCCACCTGCCCAAGGCAGGACTCTAGTCTAATTGTTGAGTCATAAGATCATTACTCCAGAGAGGGTCCTGCTTCATACCCTGGAGGAAGAAATGCTGCAAGAAGAGACCAGAGGAATCTGAAAAGACAGACCTTGCTGGGCTTCCCCACTCAGTCTATTAATATTAGATCAAAACCTTTTTGCCTAATTACATTTCTGCTTGGTTGTCACTCATGCCTATCCAATGAAGTCTCTATAAAAGGCCCAAGAGGACAGGGTTAGCAGAGCTCCCAGATAGCTGAACATATGGAGATTCCTGGGGGTGGTGCACCTGGGGAGGGCATGGAGGCTCAATGCCACTACCCACTATATCTTTCCCTATGTATCTCTTTGTGCCTATCCTTTGTAATATCCTTTATAATAAAATGGCAAACATAGATGTTTCCCTGAGTTCGGTGAGCTACCCTAGCAAATTAATCAAACCCAAAGAGGAGATCCTGGGACCATCAACTTGAAGCTGATTAGTCAGAAGTTCCAGAGACTTGACTTGCTGCTGGTGTCTGAAGTGTGGGACAGTCTTGGGATGGAGCAATCAACCTGTGGAACCTGATGCTATTTCCAGATAAATAGTGCAGGAATTGAATTGAAGGACACTCAGTTGGTGTCTGTTGCAGAACTGATGGCTTGCTTAAAATAGGAAGAACCACCCCTCAACCCATCGATATTTGGTCACAGAAGTCTTCTGTGTTTATTGTTGTGCTGAGAGAGCAGAGGAAAAACAGTTTGAGTTTTTTGCCACAATATCTCATCAAGTTTCTCTTCCCCTACCCTTGATATCTAATCAAATTCTTTTTAGTAATTTTCTATTCACTGACTCTCACCTTGCCCTTTGGCTGTGAATCCTCAGCTTCCCTTGCTGTATTTGAAGTTGAGCTCAGTTCTGTACTGAAATCTCTCCCGCTACTGCAATGGCTCAAATTAAATATGTCTTGCCATTTTTAACAAATGTTCAGTACTATTTCCTTTTAATGGGTGGAGGGCAGCTCTACAGAATATTTTTGTGAATTTGAAGAAATTTTAACACATATTGTATTTTAAATGTGATTATTCTTTCAGTATTTTGGGTGTGGTAATGGTGTTTTGTGTGTCTTTATCTTAGGAGATACATGTTGAATATATATATATATAATTTTAAGATATCTGAAACATAATTTCAAATGATTTATCTCCCCTCACAAATGTGTCCGTGTGTGGGTGTGTGTGTGTGTATGAGTGTGTACATAGATAAAAATTATGGGAGCGCTCTCACTCTAGTATGCATCACTTGTCCTGTAGAATTGAAAATTTACAAAATAAACTGTTGAAGAAAACAATAGTCTCTTGAAAACTATTAATAGTTGTTTATTTCATGAGAAAAACTTACGAACAAGAAAAGAAGAGAAACTGGATGCTTTCTTTTCATTTTATATCTTATTCATAATGTTTAGATTTTAAAAATAGCATTCACATATAACTTACTTCATCAAATATAATATGGCATTGATTCTAAGATGAATTATCTTATATACTTTTAAGAAAAAATATTCTGTCAAATAGACTATGACACAACAATTCAATGGTGATTGTGCATGACACAATGTTTTAATAATAATCCCACACTACACATGAATGGCTTATAATAATATCCTGTCATTGTAGTGGATTTTCTTTCATCTATTCCCAAGATATAAAAACTTATTTTGCCTTAAGATTCATTGCTTGTGGTGTGATTGGTAAACACTTTACACATGTGTCTGTAATAAAATTTAACAGAGCTTCATTTACTTGTGTGTTTCTTTCTTTACTCTTTTAAGTAATCTGATTATTTCTTTGCAAGAAAAATGAAACTGAACTCTGTATTGGAAACTATACTTCTCCTTCAGATTAGATTTCAGGAATAAAGAATGTAATCACCCAGCTACTCAGAATTTTGCCACTAGAGAGTCCTCAGCCATAAGCTTTCTTCAGAATTGTCTTTGCTATAGACAGTTGCAACCTACACACTGGGAGAAAATATTTCCAAAACATATGTCTGGTGTGGGGTTAATATACAAAATTTGTAAGGAGCTAACACAACTTAGTAGCAAAAACAAAACAAAACAAAACAGAGACCTGATTTAAAAATGGGCAAAAGACCTGAATAAATATTCCTCTATAGAAAAGACAAAAATGAGTATCAGTTATATGAGAAGGTGCCCAAAATCACTAATCATTAAGAAAATGCAAGTGAAACCCACAATGAGATATAACTCCAACCTGCTAGGATGCCTATTATTAAAATATAAATGACAAATGCTGGAAAGGATGGGAGAAAAGAGAAATCTTGTACACTGTTGATGGGAATGTAAATTAGTATAGCTATTATGGAAAACAGTATGGAGGTTCCTCAATAAAAATAAAACCATCATTTGATCCAACATTTCCAACTCTGAATATACATTTGAAGGAAATGAAATTACAATCTCTGGAAGAGATGTGCACCTCCATGTTCCTTGAAGCATTATTCACAATAGCCAAGATACGTACATATATATATGATATACATGTGTGTACATGTACGTTTATTACAGCACTATTCACAATAGCAAAAACTTGGAACCAACCCAAATGTCCATCAATGATAGACTGCATTAAGAAAATGTGGCACACATACACCATGGAATACTATGCAGCCATAAAAAAGGATGAGTTCATGTCCTTTGCGGGGACATGGATGAAGCTGGAAACCATCATTCTCAGCAAACTAACACAGGAACAGAAAACCAAACCGCATGTTCTCACTCATAGATGGGAATCGAACAATGAGAACACTTGGACACAGGGAGGGGAATATCACACATGGGGGCCTGTCGTGGGGTGGGGGTAGGGGGAGGGATAGCATTAAGAGAAATACCTGATATAAATGATGAGTTAATGGGTGCAGCACACCAACATGGCACATGTATACATATGTAACAAACCTGCATGTTGTGCACATGTACCCTAGAAATTAAAGTATAATAATAAAAATAAATAAATAAATAAATAAACTGTAGCTTTTTTAAACTCAGAAACTATATATATTCTCTTTCACTGTGTGGAAATGAGTGCAGAGTTCTGAAAAATAGATAATGATTATTCCCAGATGTTTACTCTTTCGTATGAAATTTAGAGTCATTTTATCCAATCTTTAACTTATTTAATATTGGATTTTAACTGGAATCTTTCACTTCAAGTTGTTCAATCAATTGGCTGGCAAGTTGGAGCTGACTCAGAGTTCAGCTGAGTCTGTGAGCCACGGACTTTGGTTCCTCAGTCCCTCCTTAAGCGGGTCTCCCTGCATGGCTGCATGGATTTTCTCATGGTAAGTTGCCTGGATTCTGTGAAAAAGAAACATGAGCAAAACAAACAAAAGTGTTATGGCTTATGCTTGAAAATCACAAATTGTCACATTTGACAATCAAAAGCAGAATCAAAGTTACATTGTAAAAAGATTGTAAGAAGAGATTGTGGCATATGGCCATTTCTGGATATACATTCCAACACACAGATTTAAGGTCAAATTGGGTAAAACTCTCTTAAGATTCAACTAAAAAGTCAAATAATTTAGAATAGCCAAAAACACGGACATATAGAGGCATAGAAAAACTAAGAAGGAGCTTAGCGTTCAAACATACCAAAACAACATGGTACTGGCAAAAGTATGAATAAATAGATCATTAGGACAGAAAGAGAGCCCAGAGGTAGATCCTTGTATATAATATTCAACCATATATAAAGCATTATTTTATTCAAATAGTGAAAGATGTTTCATTCAATAAATGGAATTAGCACAAGTTGTTATGTATCTGGGAGTAAAAAAATAGAACTTCTATGGAATATCATATTCAGAAATAAATTCCAGATATATTAAATATGTAAATGTAAAATCTAAAGCAATAACATATTTCGATATTTTAAATTATATATACAACCAATAACCTGGGAGGGGAGAATTTTTTAAGACAGGAAACACAGAAGCTATAAAACAAAAGAAAGAAATGCTTGGCTATAAAAAATAATTTTTTTCTATGACAACAGATGCAATATAAAAAGTCAAAAGATAAATGATAAATCAGGAAAAATTGTATGCAAAATAGGGGACAGAACTTTTTTACTGAAAAGGTACACATTTTTCTAGTTAAAAAAAGACAAAAGGCTCAATAGAAAAATGAGAAAAATAGCAATAACTATTGCTCTCCTAGGTAAGCATTCCTGGTAAGGATCTGTGAAAAATGATACTCTTATTCATTAGCAGTAGATTTATAAATTTTTATAATCCGTTTGAAAAGGTAAGCTTGTTAGAGCTATAAAAATTAAATGGAAATATACCCTCATTCCTCTGCCACTCTTAATATACTTGGTTCTCCCTCCTTCCTCCCTTTTCTGTCTGTCAGTTCCTCCCTCCCTTTCTCTCTCCTTTTCCCCCTCTTTTTTGCTATATTCTCTCATTCGGTTGGTCTATTTCTCTTTATCTTTTCTCTTTCAGCAATTATACATCACGGAATCTATGTGATAGAAATACATTCACATAAGGAAAAATGCAGCACTTTTCATATTCATAAAACACAGGAAGAAAACAATGTGATTTTTTTTCTAAGGTGGTGAATTGCAGGCAATGTTAGCATGCCTCTCCCACTTGGAGAGACAAAATATGGCATAGAGATTCACACTATAAACGTTATTCCAAGAAGTAACACAGGAATTTAACTGGAAAACTGAAAGAAACCACAGACGCTTTGAAAGAAGCATCAGGCTGCAGCTTAGACTGTGAGCCAGGCAAAAAACTGCAAAGTCGCCAGAGTGTGAGAGGGAGACGACTGCCTCCAGGGTATACAGCCCCACTGGGGAACCTGACAATACAGCCCACAAGGGAAGGTCTTAATCCTACCCAGCACTGGAATTGATTTAGGGAGCAGCAGGGAATATAAAAGTAGGAGCAGCAGCAGAAAGAGCCTTGTGGGCATTCCTTGTCTCCAGCACAGACCAAGGGAAGCCATTCCCAATTCTTTGTCACAGGGGACTTTTTGGAAGTCAGCTAGCTAACTCAGTCAGTGGTCACAGGTTGAGAAAAGCTTCCAACTAAAATACTTGCTATAATCTTGATTGGGGGCAAACTTCCTTGGCTGGAACCAGGAGACAAGCAGGAAGTGTACTGCAGCCATGAGTATAGGAGCTGGGTGTCCTGGCCTTGCAGGTGGACTGGGAGGGGTGTGGCCTGAAAGCTGAAGTTGCCGTCTCTGAAGGAAGGCTTATGGTTTGGTGCAACTTTGAGTTCTGAGCATAGACTGCCTGGAAATTAGCTATCTGCTGCTAGCAGAACACTGCATGTGTGAGACATGCATTGCCAAGTGTGTAGGAGATGGATGGGGCTTACAGCCACCTGCTACTCCCCACTCCCTGCATTAGCTTTTCTGTGCAGCAGGTGCAGCTATTCTTCTCCCTAAAAAAGTACTCCAGTGGCCAGAGAACCACCCTCCCTACCCCCAAAAAGGCTTCTGCCTGTCCTGTACGTGGAAAGCCAGATCACAGACCTGCCTGACTCAGCCCCCATCTGGCTTTGTCCCTCCACCTGCCCTGGTAGCTTAATACACACACACAAACACACACACACACACACACACACACACACACACACAATTTTGGGATGTCTGTAACCCGACCCACCACCTGAGAAACCAGAATACTTCCCTACGTAATATAAGGCAAGCCCAAATTTCAATGCTATTACCACAGCTGGGGCTTTTTTTCAAGTGCCACCCCCTGGCTGGAGGCCAACTGATACAGTCCATTACAGCACCTGCAGGTAGAATAACACTGCACCTAGGAAGGAGAAAACTTATGGATGACCTCAGCTATCACTATTGCCTGCACCATCCTGGCAGGAAGTCCTGAGTTTGTCCATATTACCAGTTCATTACTACTAAAACTGGCATTTGAGGAAAAATCACACTAAGGCTAATTATAACCAAGAATCACAGAGTCTACACCACTCCCCTGCCACCCCTATCAGAGCTGGTGCTGGTAGTCAGCACTGGGAGACTTGAAGATGGTCACATCACTGGATATCTTGCAAACATTCCCCAGCACCAACCTAGAGTGTGACAGCCCAACTGGGTGGCTAAGCCCAGAGAAGCATCAGTATTCATAGTAACCTGGCTCTCAGGAACACCCCATGGGACAAAAGAATCCAGACAGCAGGACTTAAGTCTGCTTAAGAAGTTTCAGGAGAGGCACAGTTGTAGTCCTGGGCTCAGTGGGTAAAGCCTGTAACTCTATCCCAACAGTCAGGCAGCCCCTGTGATCATGAAGGGTCTTGTAGAAGGGAACTTCTTTTTCCTCATTCACCACTAAAGACACAGCTAGGGCTTCCCCCATGGTAGGTCAGTGTATGTGCATGTATGTGTAGACAGCCTTTGTGGAACACTTCAGGGTGACTGCATGGCCAAAGGAGGAGCATCCTCCAGGTTCAGGCTTGCACAAGAACTAAAGCCACAGTGCCTCTCTACTTGGAAAATCAACATTCTTGTAGATGTAAAGAGGTGGCTGTGTAATCTGAATAGCCGGAACACTAGGTCAGAAGTGTGTCTGTGAGGTGGATCACTTTGCTAGTGGCCTGAGAGGGGAGGTGAGTTTGCTCCAACCCTTCCCCCTGACAAGAACCCAATGCATTCTACTGAGAGCTTCCCGAGGCATGTCTGTCAGTGCTTGGATCTTTGCCCACCATTACATATTTCAATTAGCTTTAGCCACAAACGGTTTCTACTCAGGGACACCACAGCTACTGGCCTGAAACCTGAACTATATAATGCAGTAAATGAAATCCTAGGGGAAAAATGAATAGATGTACACCATGGGGGAATGAGATATGCTTCAAGAGACCTCTGTCATTCCAATCGCGTAGGAAACAGTGAACTTGCTCAAACACTGAGCACATGGCTAATATAACCAGCACCATACAAAGACTCTGTAACCAAAAACCTCATACGGTCTTCATCCGTGAAAGCATAAAGAGCCAAATTAAGCTACAACAAACTAAAAGCATTAAAGTAATATAATTAAGACAAAAAGATTACATGAAGCACAGACAAATCAAAAATAAACTCAACAATAATGAGAAGAAATACTAATAATATAATGTAATATAATAATTATAAAAATAATTATAAGACACATTTAGGGAATTACAAAATGCAGTGGAGAATATTAACTATGAACTAAAACAAGTAGAAGAAAGAATTTCAGAGCACAAAAGCAAGGCTTTCAAATTAACCCAATTAGACAAAATTAAAGAAAAAAGGGTCAAAATAAATGAACAAAATCTTCAAGAAATATGGGATAATGCAAAAAGGCCAAAACTAAGAATAATTGGCATTCTTGAGGGAGAAGAGAAAGCAAAATGTTCAGAAAACTTATTTGAGGAAATAATTGAGGAAAACTTTTTTTTAGCTTACTAGAGATTTACATATTCAAGCACAAGAAGCTTAAAGAACTCCTGGGAGACTGATTGCAAAAAGGACATCATGAAGGCTTATAGTCATCAAGCCATCTAAAATCAACATAAAGGAAATAATTCAGAGAGCAGTGAGACAAAAGCATCAAGTAACCTATAAAGGAATACCTCTCAAATTAAAAGCAGTCTTCTCAGCAGAAACCATACAAGCCAGAAGGGACTGGGGTCTCATCATTAGTCTCCTTAAACAGAATAGCTGTAAGCCAAAAATTTTGTGTTCAGCAAAACCAAGTTTCATAAATGAAGGATAAATAAAATCATTTTCAGACAAACAAATGCTGAAGGACTTGTCACTACCAAACTAGCCCTACAAGAAATGTTAAAAGGGGTTCAAAATGTTGAAACGAAAGTTTGATATGCACCAGACTAGAACCTCCTGAAAGCATAAAACTCACAGGGCCTATAAAACAATAACACAACGAAAAAAACATATCTAGGGAAAAATTAACATAATTACTAGAACAGTATCTCATATCTCAACATTGACATTTAATGTAAGTGGCCTAAATACTCCACTTAAAAGGTAGAGATTGGCAGAATAGATTAAAAAAAAATCAAAACCAAATATCTGTCATCTTCAAGAGATTTACCTAACATGCAAGGATTTACATAAAGTCACGATAAAGGGGTAGAAAGAGATACTCCATGCAAATAGAAATCAAAAGCAAGCAGGAATATCTATTTTTGTATCAGATAAAACAGACTTTAAAGGAACACAAGTAAAAAAAAAAGACATTATTATATAATGATAAAAAATCAATTTAACAAGAAAGTATTACAATCTTAAATTTATATGCACCTAACACTGGAGCACCCAGATTTATAAAACAATTACTACTAGACCTAAGAAAAGAGATAGACAGCAACACACTAATAGTGGAGGACAACAACACTCCGCTGACAGCACTACACCGATCATTGAGACAGAAAGTCAACAAAGAAATAATGGGCTTAAACTATACTCTAGGACAAGTGGATCTAAAGATATTTACAGAACATTTTACCCAAGAACTTCAGAACATACATTCTTCTCATCAGGACATGGAACATTCTCCAAGATAGACCAAATTATAGGCTACAAAGTAAGTATCAACACATTTTAAGAAATCAAATAAATATCAAGTAACTTCTCAGACCACAGTGAAATTAAATTAGAAATCAATTCCAAAAAGACCCTCAAAATGGTAGAAATGCATGGAAATTAAACAATTTGCTCCTGAATGATTTTTAGGTTAACAATGAAAACAAAGTGAAGATTAAAATAAATGATAATTAGCTGGCTGTGGTGGCATGCACCTGTAATGTCAACTGCTCCAGAGGCTGAGGTGGGAGAATCGCCTGAACCTGGGAGTCAGAAGTTGTGGTGAGCCAAGATCATGCCACTGCACTCTTGCCTAAGCAAAAGAGATTCCATCTCCAAAAATAAATAAATAAATAAATGATAAGAGTGACACTTAAAAAATTTTTTTAATGCCCACACTGTAAATAGTGACACAAGATCTCGAAATTTCCCAGAAACAGCAAAAGCAATGCTAAGGTGAAAATTTGAAGTGTTAAATGCCTACATCAAAAAGTTTAAAAGATCGCAAATTGACAACCAAATGTCACACATTAAAAACTAGAGAAACAAGAGCAAACTAAACCCAAAGCTAGCAGAAGAGAAGAAACAACAAATATCAGAGAATAACTAAATGAATTTGAAACAAAAAAATACAGATCAATAAAATAGAAAGTTGGTTCTTTTACAAAACAAATTTGATAGACCACTAGATAGATTAACCAAAAATAGAAGAATCAAATACCTTCAATTAGAAATAAAAATGAAGACATAACAACTGACACCACATAAATACGAAATATTATTTGAGACCATTCTGAACACCTTTATACATACAAACTAGAAAATCTAGAGAAAATGGAAAAACTCCTGAACATACAACCCTTCTAGATTAAATGAAGAAGAAATAGAAACCCTGTACAGATAAATAACAAGCAATGTGATGAAATCAGGAATTTAAAAATTGCCAAAAAAAACCAGTCCATTAGCAGATAAATTCATGGTTGAATTCCACCAGACATTCGGAGAAGAATTGGTACCAATCCTACTGAAACTATTCCAAAAGATTGAGAAAGAAACAATTTTCCATGGCTTATTCTCTGAAGCTAGTATCACCCTGATACCTAAATCAGAAAAGGACAAAACAACAACAAAAAGGAAATCTACAGACTAATATTTCTGATGAACATAGATGCAAAAATCCTCAACAAAGTACTAGCTAATTGAATTCAACAGCACATCAAAAAGATAATATACCAAGATCAAGTGGGTTTCATCCCAGGGATCCAATGATACTTTAATATATAAAAGTCAATAGATTTGATACATCAGATTAAAAAGAAATAAAAATATAAACCATATGATCAACTCAATAGAAGCAGAAAGACTTCAGTCAAATTCAGCATCTGTTTATAATAAAAACTCTGAACAAACCAAGCATAAAAGGGACTTACCTCAAAATAATAAAGGCATATATGACAAAACTACAGCCAGATTCATACTCAATGGGGGAAACGTTCAAAGCATGAACAAACCAGACTGGAACAAAACAAGGATGCCCACTCTCACCACTTCTATTCAACAGACTACTGGAGTCTTAGCCAGAGCAATCAGACAAGAGAAAGAAATAAAGGGCATCCACATTGGATAAGAGGTAGTCAAACTATCAGTGTTTGTGAATAATATGACTGTATACATAGGAAACTCTAATGATTCCTTCAAAAGAAACTATTAATAGAGACAAAGAAGGACATTATGTACATAATTATAACAAACTCAATTCAATAGGAAATTATAACAATTACAGACATATATGCACCAACATCAGATGTCCTAAATATATGGAGCATAGATTGACCAGAATTGAGGGAAGAAATACACATCTCTACAGTAGTAATAGGAGACTTGGGTACCTCATTTACAATATTGTACAGAAAAACCACCCATAACTTCCATAAAAAACTAGAAGACTCAAAGAAAAACTACTATTGGCCAATTGAAACTAACAGAGATATATAAAAATTCACTCAAAAATAGCAGCATACATTTTTTCTCAAGTGTTCAAGAAATAATACTGAGGATAAACAAAAAGAGAGTCTTAATAGATTTAAAAATATTTAAATTGTATTACGTATCTGTTTTGATCACAATGGAATAGAACTAAATCAAAAGCAGAAAAAAATTGAAAATCTATAAATATTTAGAAATTAAACACAGTTTTAAACAACCAATGGAACAAAGAATAAATTATAAGGAAAATTAAAATATATCTTGAAATGAAAATAAAAACTCAACATATCAAAACTTATGGAATGCAGTGAAAGTAGTACTAAGAGGTGCATTTATATCTGAAAATGCTTTTATTAAAAAATAAGATATCAAATCCATAGCCTGAATATATATCTCAAGGAACTAGAAGAAGAACAAACTAAACACAAAGCTAGCAGAGGAAAGGATATAATAACAATTAAAGCAGAAATAAATAATTGAAAAACAATCGAGAAAACTGATGAAACCAAGAACTGGTTCCTCAAATAGATCAGCAAAATTGACAAAACTTTAGCTATATTGACTAAGAAAAATATAAATGTCTCAAGTAACTGAAAACAGAAGTGAAAGCAGATAGTAAGACTGTTTTTATAGAAATAAAAAAGAGAACATAAATTTTTGTATGGTAAACTACATGAAATGAACAAATTCCTAGAAAACCACAAATATCAAAACTAAACTACTAAGAGATAGAAAATCACAAAAGACTTATTAGTAGTCAGGTGATGGCATCAATAATTACAAACATCTCAACAAGAAAAAGACCAGGAGAACATAATTTCACTGGTGAACTCTAGGAAACAATTAAAACATTGACACTAACACCCTTTAAAATTTTCCAAAAATGGAAGTGTAGAGAGCACTTCTAAATGCATTCAGTTGGTCTAGCATTATCCCAATATCAAGGCCAGAAAAAGATACCATAAAATAAGAAAACTATAAACCAAATTTCTAATAAATACTGATGCAAAAGTCCACAATAACATAGTAGCTAACAGAATCCAATAGCACACTAAAAAGATTATACATGTATACAGTTGACACTTGAACAACATGGAGGTTGTTCAAGATGTAACTGTATTCCTAGGTTAAAGGGAAGGTTCAACATAGAAAAATGAACTAAGCTGAGAACAAAATTCAGAATGCACTCTCATTCAGAATTGCCACACAAGAATAAAAGATCTAAGAATACATCTAACCAGGTAGGGGAAAAATTTCTACAATGAGAATTAAAAAACAATACTCAAAGAAACCAGAGAAGACAAAAATAAATGGAAAAACATTCTATGCTCATGGATTGGAAAATACAACATTAATAAAATGGTCATACTGCCCAAAGCAATTTACAGATTCAGTGTTATTCCTACCAAACTACTTATGATATTTATCACAGAATTAGAAAAAAAAGTATTTTAATATTTATGTGAAACCAAAAAGAACATGAATAGCCAAGGCAATCCTAAGCAGAAAAGACAAAGCCAGAGGTATCACATTACCTGACATCAAAATACAGCACAGGGCTGCAGTAACCAAAAGAGCATGGTACTGGTACAAAAACAGACACAGAAACCAATGGAACAGAATATAGACCCCAGAAATAAAGCCACACACCTACAACCATCTGATTTTTAACAAAGTTGAGAAAAACAAGCAACGGTAAAAGGACTTCAATATTCAATAAATGGTGCTGGGATAACTGGCTAACCATGTGCAAAAAATTGAAATTGGATAAATTCCTGATGCCATATACTAAAGTCAACTCAAGATGGATTAAAAACTTAAATGGAAAACCTAAAACTATACAAACCCTGAAAAATAACCTGGGAAATACCATTATGGATATAGGATCTGAAAAAAATTTTATGATAAAGATGCCAAAAGCAATTGTAACAAAAACAAAAGTTAACAAATGGGACCTAATTAAACTAGAGAGCTTCTGCACAACAAAATAAACTATCAACAGAATAAACAGACAGTCTACATAATGGGAGAAAATATTTGCAAACTATGCATGTGAAAAAGGTCTAATAACTAGAATCTATAAGAAACTTAAATTTAAAAGCAAAAAACAAACAGCTCCATTAAAAAGTGGACAAAGAACACAAACAGCCCCTTTTTAAAAGACATACACACAACTAACAAGTATATAAAAAGAGGTTGACATCACCGATTATTAGAAAAATGCAAATCAAAACCACAATGAGATAGCATATCACATTAGTCAGAATGGTTATTATCTAAAAGTCAAAAAATAACAGATGCTGACAAGGTTGTGGAGCAAAGGGAATGCTTATACACTGCTGATGGCTATGTAAATTAGCTCAGTCTTTGTGGAAAGGAGTTTGGTGATCTCCCAAACACTATAAGTAGAATTACCATTTAACCTAGCAATTCCGTTATTAGGTATATACTAAAAGGAATATAAATTGCTCTACCATAAAGACACAAAGACATATGCATGCATATATTCATCACAACACTATTCAAAATAGCAAAGAATGGAATCAACCTAAATGCCCATCAATGGTAACTGGATAAAGATAATGTGGTACATCTACATCATGGAATACTATTAGGTTAGTACAAAAGTAATTGTGATGTTTGCCATTGAAAGTAATGGCAAAAACTGCAATTACTTTTGCACCAACGTAATATACACTCATAAAAAAGAATGAAATTATGTCCTTTGCAGCAACATGGATAGAGCTGGAGGACATTATCCTAAGTGAACTAAAACAGGAACAGAAAACCAAATACCACATGTTCTCACTCATAAGTGAGAACTAAATATTGAGTCCATATAGGCACAAAGAAGTGAACAGTAGGCACCAGGGACTACTAGAGGATGGAGGAAGAAAGCAAGGTGAGTAACAAAAAACTACATATCAGGTGATACCCTTATTACCTGGGTGGCAAAATAATCTGCACAGCAAACCCTCATGACACGCAATTTCCCCATATAACAAAACTGCTCAAGTACTCCTTAACCTAAGTTACAAAAACAAACAAACAAACAAACAAACAAAAAACGCATTGGAAACTTAATCCTTATTGCAACAGTGATGGGAGGTGAGAACTAATGGAAGCTGTTTAGATCAAGAGAACTCCACCTTCATGAATGCCTTATTGCTGATTATAAAAGGGCAAGTTTATATTTTGCTCTCTCCCATTATCTCTTTGCCCTTCCACCATAGAATGATGCAGTGAAAACACCATCAACAGATACTAACTCCTGTATCTTGGACTTCCTAATCTCTGAACTGTTTGGAAATAAATGTCTTCATATGTTATCCTGTGTGTTATATTCTTATGGTAGCAAAAAACAAAGACACAAGTCAATAATAGTTATTAGATAATCATCATTATAGTGTAACATTGTCTCACAGGTTCTATAATATTTCTATGGTTTGAATGTCTGTTTCTCTAAATGTTATGTTTAAATTTGATTCACAGTTTTGGAGGTGGGGTCTAATGGGAGCTGTTTTTGTCAAGGTGGCTGGTCCCACGTGAATAGATTGCTGCCCTCCTTTGGGAATAAGTGAATTCCCCCTCCATTAGATTCTATGAGTTCTGGTTGTTGAAAAGAACCTGCCTCCCAACACTGCTTCTCTCTCACCCTGTGATCTGTGCACAATCTGGCCATCCTTCAACTTCCACCATAACTGGAAGCAATCTGAGGACATCAACCAATACAGATGCCCAATCTTGAACTTTATAGCCATTAGAATTGTAAGCCAAATAAATCTATTTTCTTGATATTATTTAAATTTTTGAATGTTTTAAGATTGGTTTTGTGACAACATACGGTCTATCCTTGAGAATGATCAATGTGCTAAGGAAAAAAATGTGTTTTGTGCAGCTGTTGAATGAAATGTTATATAAATATATGTTAGGTAAATTTGGCGTATAGTGCAGATTAAGTTGGACGTTTCTTTGCTGATTTTCTGTCTGGGAGATCTATTCAAGGTTGATAATTAAGTGTTGAAGTTTCCAGATATTATCATATCAGGATCCATCTCTCTGTTTAGCTCTAATAATATTTGCTTTATACATTCAGGTGCTTCAGTGTTCAATGTGTGTGTGTGTGTGTGTGTATGTATATATATATATATATATATATATATATATATATATATATATATATATATATATATTTAAAATTGTTATATCCTATTACTGAATTGACACTTTTACTTTTATCATTATATTGTGATTTTCTTGGACTTGTCTTACACATTTTGTCTTGAAATCTATTTTGTCTGATATAATTACTCCTGCATCTTTGGTTTATATTGAAATAAAATATTTTTCCATTCTTTTATTTTTAGAGTATGTGTGTCTTAATAGATGAAGTGTGTTTGTTGTAGGCAACAGATCACGAAGTCTTGTTTTTTCATCTATTCAGCCACAGTCTGTATTTTTTAATTTTTAAAAAAATTTTGTAGGTACATAGTATGTGTATATATTCATGGGGTACATGATGTGTTTTGATACAGGCATGCAATGTGAAATAAGCACGTCATGGAGAATGGGGTATGCATCCCCTCAAGCATTTATTCTTTCAGTTACAAAGAGTCCAATTATATTAAGTTATTTAAAAATATACAATTAAGTTATTTTTGACTATAGTTACCTTGTCCTACAAAATACTAGGTCTTATTAATTCTTTCTACTTTTTTGTACTAATTAACCTCCCTCCTAACTCCCAACTCTCCACTACCCTTCCCAGCCTCTGGTAAGCATTCTTATAATATCTCTGTGTACAAATTCAATTGTTTTCATTTTTAGATCCCACAAGTAAGTGAGAACATGTGATGTTTGTCTTTCTGTTCCTGGCTTATTTCACTTAACATAATGATCTCCCATTTCATCTACCTTGTTGCAAATGACTTAATCTTATTCCTTTTTGTGGATAAATATACTCTGTTGTGTATATGTACCACAATTTCTTCATCGATTCATCTGTTGATGGACACTTAGTTTGCTTTCAAGTCTTAGCTATTGTGAATAGTACTGAAACAAACATAGAAGGGCAAATATCTCTTTTATACACTGATTTGCTATTTTCGCTTACATACCAAGCAGTAAGATGACTGGATCATATATTAGCTCAATTTTTAGTTTACTGAGAAACCTCTACACTGTTATCCATAGTGGTTGTACTAATTTACATTCCCATCAACAGTTTATAAAGACTCTCTTATCTCTACATCCTCATCAGCATTTGTTATTGCCTGTATTTTTTATGTAATTCATTTTAACTGAGGTGAGATGTTATCTCAGTAGAGTTTTGATTTGCAATTATCTGATAATCAATGATGTTGAGCACCTTCTCATGTGCCTGCTTGTGATTTGTATGTCTTCTTTCATGAAATTTCTAGTCAAATCTTTTGCCCATTTTTTTTATCAGATTATTAGAGTATTTAATATAGAGTTGTTTGAGCTCCTCATATATTCTGGTTCGTAATCTGTTGTCAAATGGGTAGTGTACAAATATTTTCTCACATTCTATGGGTTGTCTCTTTACTTTCTTGATTGTATCACTTACGTGCAGAAGCTTTCTAACTTGTTGTGATGCCATTTGTCTATTTTTCCTTTGGCTATCTGTGCTTATAGAGTATTACTGAAGAAATTTTTGCCCTAAACAATGTCCTGGAAAATTTTCCTGGTAGTTTTCTTTTCTTTTTTCTTTGTTTCAAGTTGTAATCAAAGCTTGTATATAAGATTACTTTATTCCTGCATCTTCTCAATTGTTTCTTCCTTGTATTTGCCCTTTTGCTTTCCTACTTGGCAAGATTTGGCTTTCCGTTCACGGATATTTTTGCGGTCTTTGTCCACTTTTAGCCTAGTGATAACCACCTTGCTGGGGTGAATGCCTACGTGGACAGTTGTGCCATTAGCCTTTTCCCACTGCACCCGTTCAATGTATGTAGCATATTTCTTCCTGTAAACCTTGACTACTTTGCCAATTTGTTGACCTTTATAGTGTCCTCGTACAACCTGAACTTCATCATCCTTTTGGATGGGCATGGATCACCCGTTATACTTCTGTTTCAGCTCATTGGAAAGAGGGGAAGACATAATCTTCCCGTGAATGTAGGAAGGTGCATTGAAATGCCTTTTGCGACTCTTCCTTCAGTTGGAAGTCACAAAGGGATTAAACTTCATTTTGGCCGCTCCCTCTTCAGTGATGGATGCAAAAGGGAAGAGAACTACACACTCCTGATAGTTTTCTTGTAGCAGTTATGTAGTTTGAGATCATAGATTTAAGTCTTTAATTCATTTTGGTTTGATTTTGTATATGGTGTGTATTATTCCATTCTCATACTGCTATGAAGAACTACCTGGGACTGGGTAATTTATAAAGGGAAGAGGTTTAATTGACTCAGTTCCGCATGGCCAGGGAGGCCTCAGGAAACTTACAATCATGGTAGAAGGCAAAGGAGAAGCAGGCACCTTCTTTACAGGGTGGCAGGATGGAGTGAGTACAAGCAAGGGAAATGCCAGATGCTTATAAAACCATCAGACATGGTGAAACTCTCTATGATGAGAACAGCATGGGGGATAATGCCTCCATGATCTGATTACCTCCACCTGATCCTGCCCTTCACACTTGGTGATTACACAGATTATGGGGATTAAATTTAAGGTGAGATTTTGGGTGAGGACATAACCAAACCACATCATTGTGAGAGATAGTTAACCAGTTTTATTATTCTGTATAAGGATATCTAGTTTTCCCAGCATCATTTATTGAAGGACTGTCTTTCCCTCAGCATATGTTCTTGGTATCACTGTCAAAAATGGTTTTACTGTAGGTGTGTGGATTTGTGTCTGTTTCATTGGTTTAAGTGTCTGGTCTGAGTTCCAGCACCATACTATTTTAGTTACTATAGTTCTGTATTATAATTTGACATCAGATAATGTGATTATTCCATTTTTGTTCATTTTCTTCAGCATACCTTTGGCTATCCTGGGTCTTTTGTGGCTTCATATACATTTTAGAATTAGTTTTTGCTAGTTCTGTGAAAAATGAATTTGTATTTTGATACAGGCTCTATTGCATCTGCAGATAGCTTTGGTAGTGCGTACATTTTAACAATATTGATTCTTCCAATCCATGAACATGGAATAATTTTCCATTTTATGGTGTCCTCCTTAATTTTTTATCAGTGTTTTATAGTTTTTGATATAGGAATCTTTCACTTCTTTGGTTAATTTCTAGGTATTTATGTGTGGCTGTTGTAAATGGGATTTCTTGTTTTGTTATTTTTTTTCACATTGTTAACTACTGGCATATAGAAATGTTATTCATTTTTTCTACATTGATTTTGTATCCTGTAACTTTACTGAATTTGTTTATCACTTCTAATAATAGTTTCCTTGTGGAGTCTTTAGATTTTTCCAAATACAAGATCATATAATCTGCAAATAAGGGCATTTTGACCCTTTCCTTTCAATTTGAATGCCCTTTATATCTTTCTCTTGTCTGATTGCTCTAGCTGGGACTTTCAGTACTATCTTAAATAACAATGGTGGCAGTGTACGTCCCTGTTGTGCTCCAGATCTTAGAG
The DNA here is from genome assembly GCF_000001405.40 of Homo sapiens. Taxonomy (NCBI): domain Eukaryota; kingdom Metazoa; phylum Chordata; class Mammalia; order Primates; family Hominidae; genus Homo; species Homo sapiens. The sequence continues at coordinate 5,795,144 of NC_000024.10, forward strand.
AAAACCCTTTCAGTTTTTACGCGTTCAGTTTTTACGCATTCAGTATTATATTAGCCATGGCACTGTCATAATGGATTTTATTATGCTGAGGTATATTCCTTAAATTTCCACCATTTGAAGGTTTTTATTATGAAGATATGTTGAATTTTATCAAATGCTTTTTCCACATCAATTGAAATAATCATATAATTTTTTCCTTTATTCTGTTGATATGATGCATCATATTGGTTGATTTGTATATGTTTAAACATCTTTGCATCCCAGGGATAAATCCCACCTGGTCATGATGAATAAACTTTCTTAGGTATTATTGAATTCAGTTTGCTAGTATTTCATTAAGAAATTTTGCAACAATATTCATCAGAAATATTGCCCAGTGCTTTTCTTTAATTAAGGTGTCTTTTTATAGTTTGGGTATCAGGGTAATACTGGCCTCATAGAATAAGTTTGGTCTTGCCCTCTATTTTTTAAAATAGTTTGAACAGAATTGATATGAGTTTTTCTTTATATTTTTGTTAGAATTCAGTAGTGAAACCATCAGGCCTTGGGCTTTTCTTTACTGTGAGACATTTCATTATGTATTTGATCTCATTATTTGTTAATGGACTGTTCAGGTTTTGGATTTCTTTCTGGTTAAATCTTGGTAAGTTGCATGTATCTAGCAATTTGTCCCTTTCTTTGAGATTTTCCAATTGTTTCCAATTTGTTTTAAGAATTCTTTTAACTTTCTTTTTTCATTGAACTGCTGGTCACTTAGGAGCATATTGTTTAAATTTCATGTATTGGCATAGTTTCAAAAATTTCTCGTTATAAATTTCTAGTTTTATTCCATTGTTGCCAGAGAAGATGCTTGATATTATTTCAAATATTTGAATATTTTAAGACTTGCTTTGTGACCTAACATATTGTTTATCCTTGAGAGTCATCCATGTGTTGAAGAAAAGCATGTGTATTCTGCAGCTGTTATGTAAAATGCCGTGTAAACATCTATTATATCCATTTGTTCTATAGTACAGATTAATTCTGATTTTTTTTATTGATTTTCTGTCTAGAAGATCTGTCCGGTGCTGAAAGTGGGGGTGTCAAAGTCTCCAGCTATTATTGTACTGGAGCCGATCTCTTTCTTTAGCTCTAATAATATTTTCTGTGTACCAGGGTGTTCCCGTGTTGGGTGACTACATATTTAAAATTGTTATATCCTCTTACCAAATTGACCCCTTTATCATTATATAGTGACCTACTTTGTCTATTCTTATAGTTTTTGTCTTGATATCTATTTTTTTTCTAATATAAGTATAGCAACTCCTGCTTTTTTGGGGTTTGCATTGGCATGGAATACAGTTTTCCATTTTTTAATTTTCAGATTATGTGTGTCTATATAGGTGAAATGTACTCCATTTACACAACAGATAAATGGATCTTGTTTCTTCATCCATTTAGCCAGTCTATATCTTTTGATTAGAGTGTTTAGTCCATTTACATTAAATGTTATTATTGATAAGTAAAGACTTACTCCTGCCATTTTGTTATGTATTTTCTGGTTGTTTTGTGGTCTATCTTTTCTCCTTTTATTCTTTCCTGTCTTTCTCTAGTGAAGATGATTTCCTCTGATGATATAATTTAGTTTCTTGTTTTTTATTATTTATGTATTCATTGTATGTTTTTTGGTTTGAGGTTACCATGAAACTTGCAAATACTGTCTTATAGCCCATTATTTTAACCTAAAAACAGCTTAATATTTGCATAGAGAAACAAAAAACAAGCAAAACAATAACTAATAAAAACTTGCCTTAACTTTTTCCTTCACTTTTAAATTTTTGTATTTTCTATTTATATTTTATTGTACTATGTCTTGAAAAGTTGTTTTAGGTATTTTTGTTTGGTTCTTTATTTAGTCTTTCTACATATAATAAGAGTAGTTTACACACCACAGTTACAGTAGTTACAGTTTTACAATATTATATGTTTTTCTATGTAGTTGATACTACCAGTAACTTTTGTGCCATCAGATGATTATTTATTGCTCATTAATGTTTTTTATTCATTTAGTTGAAGTACTCTTCTGAGTATTTCTTGTAATATGGGTCTTGTATTGATTAAATTCTTCATCTTGTATTTGTCTGCGAAAATTATTATTTCTTTTTCATGTTTGAAGTTTACTTCACCAGATATACTATTCTAGGGGATACGTTTTTTTCCTTCAGCATTTTAAATATGTCATGCCATTCTTTCCTGGCCTGTAAGGTTTCTACTGTAAAGCATACTTCCAGATGTATTGGAGCTCCATTGTATGTTATTTGTTGCTTTTCTCTGGCTGCTTTAAGACCCTTTTTTTCCTTGACCTTTAGGAGTTAGAGTATTAAAAGCTTTGAGATTAGTCTTCTTTGGGTTATATCTGCTTGGGGTTGTATAACCTTCTTGTACTTGGATATTGATATATTTCTCTACATTTGAGATGTTGTATTTTATTATCACTTTGAATAAACTTTCTATCCCTATCCTTTTTCTACCTCCTCTTTAAGTCCAGTAGCTCTTATATTTACCCTTTTGAGGCTATTTTCTAGATCCTGTCGGTGTGCTTCATTGTTTCTTCATTTTTCTTTTTTCTCCTCTGAATGTGTATTTTCAAATAGCTTGTCTTCAAAGTCACTAATTTTTTCTTCTTCTTGATCAATTCTGCTATTAAAGACTCTGATGCACTCTTCATTATGTCAATTGCATTATTTAACTTCTCCAGAATTTATGCCTGATTCTTTGCAATTATTTTAGTCAGCTTTTTAAATTTATCTGATAGAATTCTGCATTTCTGCCCTCCGTTATGTTGAATTACTTTGAGTACTTTGTGTTCCCTCAAAACAGCTATTTTGAATTCTCTGTCTGAAAGGTCACATATTTCTATTTTCCCCAAATTCATTTCTGGTGCCTTATTTAGCTTATTCTGTGAGATCATATAGTCCTGAATAATCTGGATGCTTGTGGATGTTTATCTGTGTCTGGCTATTTAAGAGATAGGTATTTATTTTCATCTTCACACTCTGTGCTTAGTTGTACCCAACATTCTTGGGAAAGCTCTCAACATATTCAAAAATACTTGATTGTTGTAATCTTAGCTGCATGTGCATTAGGGGGAAACCCAAATCCAGTAAAGCTGTGGTTCTTGCAGACTTATTGAAGTACCACCTGAAGGTCTTAGATGAAATTCTTAAGAATTATCTGGATTATGAGGCAGAGACTCTTGTTCTCTTCCCTTATATTCTCCCAAATAAATGAAGTCTCTCTCTCTCTCTCTGTCTCTCCATTCTGAGCTACCTGGATCTGGTGGTAGGGTGTTACAAGCACCCCTATGAGCACCACAACTGAGACTGTGCTGGGTTAGACCCAAAGCCAACACAGCACTGGGTCTTGCCCAAGGCCTGCTATAACCATGACCTGGCTACGGCCTATGTTCACTCAAGGCTCTACAATCAGCAGCTGGTGAAGCCACCAGACTTGTATTCTTATCTTCAGGGCAGTGAATTTCCCAATGCCATGGTGGTTCCAGAGATGACATCTGGAAACCAGGGACTATAGTTAAAAAAAAAACAAAAACAAAAAAACAAAAAAAAAACCTTAGAAATCTACATGGTGTTGTGTTGCAGAGTGGCTGAGTTGGCACTCAAACCATGAGATACAGTTCTTTTCTCTCTTCCCTCCCCTTTCCACAGGCAGAGGAGCCTCACCCCATATCTATTCCCACCATAGGCCTATGGGGATTACTGCCAGGATACCACCAATATTCGCTTTAAGCCCAAGGGCTCTTCAGCAAGATTGAGGTAAATGTTGCCTGGCCTATGACTCACCTTTCAGGGAAGTGGGCTCCTCTCTGGCCCAGAGCAGGCTTTGTGATGCCATCCAAGAGGCAAGTCCTGAAATCAGGGATCCAAAGGCCTCACTTGTGTGCTATCCCTTTGTGGCCTAGCTGAAATCTAAGGTGTGAGACAAAATTTTCTTTACTTTCCCCTATGTTTTTTTTAAGCAGATGAAGTCTCTTCCAATAGCCACTATAGCTGGGAATGTGCTGTAGCAGAAGCAAGGAATCACCAAAAGTAAAAGTCTCAAAGTCTTACCCAAGGACCATGGCATGTACCACCTGGGTATCACTGCTTGTTATTCAGTGCCCATTAACTCTTTAGTCAGCAGGTGATGGGCCTTTCCCTTCAAGGCAGTGGGTTTCCTTTTGGCCCAGGGTGTGTGTAGAAATGTTGTCTAGGATCTGTCACCTGAAAATGGGGCCTCACAACACTGACCGGTTCCCTATTTTACTGTTGCTTAGCTGGTATTCAAGAGGCAAGAAAAAGTCCTCTTACCCTTCTCTCTCCTCAAGCAAAATAAAGGGGTTTCTTTTGAGGTCATGAGCTGCACTTCATGAGTTGGGCATGGATGACACAACTGCTCTGTTAGCAACCCCAGCTGGTATCTCAGTAGGTCACTTGCTCCCCAAATCTACTGGCTCTGAGCCTAGTTCAGCACTAGGACTCACCTAGGACTTGCAGTCCTTATGGCCTAGACTGTCCTTCAAATTCACATAGGGCCCCAGAGCAGCTTAGCTCGAGGTGGTGAGGCTTGTCAAATTTCAAGTGTCAATTACTTCAAATGGAAAATTACTCTCAGAGTAGGGTTGGTTTAAGTATTCCAGCCATGTTTTGGCATCAGCTGAGTTCAGGTGGGTTTTGCTTTCTGCTCTGACAAGGCAGCACTGAGTTCAAAGCAGTGTCTCACAATTGCTGCACTCTCACTCTCCCAAGCACAGAGATTCTGTCTCTGCACCATGCAGCTGTTGTTGCAGGATGGGACGGTGGTGACATTTGTGATTCAGCACTTCTTTTCTAACCTTCTCAGTGCCTCTTTTAGTGATATGAAGTTAAAACCAGGTACTTTATGTGCTCACCTGTTTTGTGGTTCTTATGAAGGTGCTTCTTTTTGTGTGTAGATAGTTGTTAAATTTGCGTCCTTGTTGGAGGGATGATCAGTGGAGCCTTCTATTTGGCCATGTTGCTCTGCCTTTCTCCAAACCTTTCTTCTTTATAAATTACTCAAGCCTCAGGTGTTTCTTTATGGCAATACTATGCAGACTAAGACAAAATAATCCACATTTATTACACTATTTAATTTCTTTTCTGTTTACTTTACTAAAATTATTACAGGTGTTTTTTTTAATGGTTTTACCCTTTTATATACCCTTCAGCAAATTTCTCTAGTATTTTATTGAATGCAAGATTGATCCCTAAGAGTATGTGATTTTTTTATACCTCTTTCTTCTTATATTGCATCTCACAACTGCTCAAATCAGTAATCCTTCTGACAAACTTTGCCGTAAAATGTATGTATTCTCAATCGCAACAATAAAACATAGCTTTGGAAAGTATTTGGCAACACACTGAGAAGGGTTTTCACAAACATGACTAGTTAAGAGTCTATGTCTTATGGAATTCAACATAGTCTTTTCATTGTAGAGGTCCTGTGTTTACCGAGGTATCTAAGAGCACCAAATGTGCTATTTTCCATTTTGTGTGCCTGGTCAGTCATAGAAGCATAACCATGTTAAAAAGATTAGAAACTTTGGAATGTCTCTGAGAGTACTTGAGGATAAACCATAAATAGAAGGCTTTTTACCTGGATACAGTTACCTAGATAATCCCAGGGAAAAGAGCTCATTCTAAATTCATAGAAAAAATGTAGTTTTATATAACTATGCTTGTCAGCACACTAATTTCTCTTGTCAAATTCAGCAAGATTGCCCCTTATAGCAGCTGTAGCTACCTGGCATTAGTATGCCTATGATTTGGAAAATTATTTTCCCTGAATATTTTTCCTGGCTTACTCAAATGAAAGACTTGTGAGTGAAGTAACAAATTATTAATGCTACATGCCATAAAGTAAAACATATTCTTTTTCAGATCTCGATTTATTAATCAAGAATAAATGAATGCATCTGAATTATTTTTAAAAACCTAAAATTATACAGATTGTACTCAAATTGAGTATTTTCAATATTCTATTCAAAATATAATGAAAGGCATCACTCTTCACATTAACCTATACATTTATGAGGAAGCAGTCAGGTTCTCATATGAAATATTTAACATTGTATCTTGTATGAATTAAAATGAAAAGTATGTCTTATATATTAGAAATTTTGCATCAAGTTCAGACTGGAGAGTCAGCTGCTTTGGCCTTATAAGATAGACCTCAAGGGGTCAGATTCCAAAGCTTGTCATTCTCTACTACCTCAGCCAAGCTTCAGTCAGTGTTGCTATAACTATGTGATAGCGTTCCATATTAAGCACTATTTATTACCTCTTGTTGATTCTCAATGACTGCTTGAAAACTGGCCTTCTTTAAGTGTTACACATAAAAAATTGAGATTTTGATTTAATCTATAATGCTTATGAGAGCGTACCAGGCTTGTGCCATGCTAAATTAGGCTGTAAAAATCTAGGGTTAGAGGTAACCCACTTTTATAATATCCAGTATTTATTTTGCTCTAGACCCTCAGTCTATAAAAATGTATATTCCAAATGCATTTTAATTGAGTTTGTACTGTTATTGGTTAATTACTTAATTTGTTTTAGTTTCAAAATTAGTTGAATCCCACTATACCAAAGATAAAGACAAAATTGGGATTATAAACTTCTTGTTTTATAGTAAAATAATGGGTTGCTGTGGAGATTAAATTATTTGGGGCATGCAAATCATAGTGCTTTACAAACAGTAATGGTGGCTGGTGCACTTCTAAATATAATTCGCTCGTCTACATTTATACAAAACTGTTCTGCCTTGCTTTAAAAGTTCTACCATAGGTGCCTTAAAATACATGCTTATACTGTTTCTTCCAGGATAGAAAACCCATTTCGGTAAGGGTTCTATGTCTGTTGTCTTACTTTTTTTTTTTCCAAATTTGTAAACAATTCTTTCTTTCACAACCAGTTCTGAAACCCACAAAAGTCTTACAATGTCATTCAAGATGAGAAAATATCTTGGAATGGACAGGCTCACTTCTATACTTGAAGAAGTTGTTGGAGTACCTGTAGGCAGAGTCTTCCACTACTCTGACTGATAGACAAGTTTGCACTCCATCATGTATGTTCTAAGTACTCAGCCTCTCTAGAGGTTTTCAATCCCAATTATTACTTTTTCTACTAGATAAGAGAGTTTTTGAGAGAGACACTGGGTTGACGACAGGGAATTGATTGAAAGTATGAATATTAATGAGTAAATTTCCCATTCAATCAATCTATCCTAAAAAGTAAGTACTGCCTCCACATCTGGAAGTGCTAGCTTCCAAATATAATACATTGTTCCAGTTAAAGAAAACTGAGCTATCTTAGAGTGAAATTTTCTGAGTTCTTGCATTTAAACATTCATCAACATAATGACCAAATCTCTAATCAAAGGTCTCCCTAAGCTTACATGTAAGCAAGCTCGATTGACTTATACAGAGCTTCTTAACAGTTTTTAGTTCCTCATTCTTAACTGTGAACATATATTCTGACTTTTGAGAAAAATTGGAATACAAAATGTCAATAAAACAACAACAATAATAAGAATCATTGATGGAAATTTTCTGGAGATGTCAATAGGATTCTCACTGAACAGTTATCAGAGTACTGATCAGTTCATGCTTGGGAGGAAACTACTCAAGGCAAAAGAACTTCCCAATAATATGAATAAAACAATTTATCCAACCCAAAGAAAGTAACAGATATTTGATTTTTTGTCTAAAAACAAACAATAACTTGAAAAATATATGAAAATAACACTTTTCAAAACGTTGGAGTTCAGGCAATGCATGACAATAATTCCCCAGGTTACCACCTTCTGAGAGTTTCCCAGATGCAGCTCAGAGACAGGGAAGCCAGGGGAAGCCCAGCAGACTCTCACAGTTGAGGAGATATGCCTGTAAGTCCAGAGAGAGCAAGGTGGCTACAGCTTACAAGGTAGAGTAACTTAGAGGAAAGGCCTACACAGAGAAAACACTTAGAAAATCACAATAGGATCATCACTGAGTATTCATCAGAGTACTGTGAAGTTGATGCGTGGGAGAAAACTACTCAAGACAAAAGAACTGCTCAAAGGAATTAGAGGATAGAATACTTGGAGCTCAGACAAGGCCTAGAACAATGCCTATTCTTACCAGCTGCACAGGTCAATGTCATAATTCACAGAGCATTAGGTAAAGTGTTTTTTTTGTGTGTTTGTTTTTTAGACAGAGTTTCGCTCTTGTCACCCAGGCTGGAGTGCAATGGCACGATCTTGGCTCACTGCAACCTCCACCTCCCGGGTTCAAGTGGTTCTTCTGCCTCAGCCTCCCAAGTAGCTGGGATTACAGGTGCCCGTCACCAAGCCAGACTAATTTTTTTGTATTTTTAGTAGAGAAGGGGTTTCACCATGTAGGCCAGGCTGGTCTTGAACTCCTGAACTCAAGTGATCCACCCACCTCGGCCTCCCAAAGTGCTGGGATTACAGGCGTGAGCCACTGCGCCTGGTCAGGTAAAGTATTTTTAGAAGTCTTTCCTTTGGATTAGAGATAATAAACCTTGCATAAAATGTTGTTTAGGTCCCACCTAACAAACCTTAAAAAGCATGGATAAAGCTGTTTACGAAATAAAACTGCATCCCAGAATAAAGCTTGAGAAGAATTATAGAATAGAAAAATCAACACCACATCAAGCAAGTGGAAGGATTGAATATTATGTAGAGACAAGAAAAATATTCAAAAAGACAAATCAAATCTGAAAAATTAAAGAATACAATGTCTCAGATGATATTCTGGATGAATGGCAGATTAGACATTACAGAAGAAAAGATAATTGAACTTAAAGTCTTATCAGCAACTATCATAAATGAAACTGGAAAAAAAGGAATAAAAAATGTGAACTGGGAGAAAACTTTAACCTAGGAAACATGTTAAGTGGACCCCCAAAGTTGGAGAGTGGGGACAGAGAAAACATTTGAAGAAAAATATTTGAAATATGGTCATGACAAGCCATATGTTTCTGTCAAGAACTGTAAAGGGTCTGAAATTTTACTCAAACTTGTTAGGTGAGCACAATTTTGGGCCAGCTGAATGGGAAGAAGACTTGAGACTCCTAGATCAGCAACCAAGAACAGTTTATTATTCACAACAACAATAGTAGTTAGAGTGTCACCATTTTTTGCACTGCTTTCTTGAGCCCCAGTTCTCACAGGGTGATGCAATAGAAAGCCAGTTAATATCTCCTCTTACAGGAGAGAAATCTTGAGTTTATGAAACTAACACCTTTTATAATGGGTTCTCTATATGTCTTCCTTTTGCTCCGGAGGGAAACAGTCTCAATCTTTCAAGGCTGTTCTCTACACACATCCTTGAAATGTTAGTTTGGAAAAAGGGACACTTAGTACCTCATTCACAAGACATGCAGAAACTCAAAAGGTAGTACCTCATTCACAAGACATGCAGAAACTCAAAAGATCTACTGAAAATTATCTCCCAAAATTACTATCTAAATTTAATAAAATTTGAAAAGTCAGTTCCTTAGGTGCATGAGTCACCTTTTAAGAGTTCAATAGTCACATATGGCTAGAAACTGTCCTATTGACAGTGAAGATATGGAACATTTCCATTACTGAAGAAAATACTATCATATAGAATGGTTGTACATCATATAATAGCAATAATAAGGTGTAATAATAATAGTAGCCCTATAAATTATGGGTTATTATCTGCACTTTACAGATGAAGAAACTATGCCTTAAGAAAGTAAAGCAACTTACTAAGTTAATATGTCTAGCAGGTGTCAGAGTTTGGACTGCATTAAACTAATTTCTTATACTGCTTTCTATAATGCCTGTGGCAGATTGTATGTTCAAGTAATGACTGCAACAATATTTATGATCCCACATGCTCTTCTAGATCCTTGCTACTATCCTGTCAAGAAGTGGAGCCTAGGGCTGGGCGAGGTGGCTCACACCTCTAATCCCAGCACTTTGAGAGGTTGAGGCGGGTGGATCACGAGGTCAGGAGTTCGAGGCCAGCCTGCCCAGCATAGTGAAACCCTGTCTCTACTAAAAATACAAAAACTTAGCTGGTGGTGTGTACTTGTAATTCCAGCTACTCAGGAGGCTGAGGCAGGAGAATCACTTGAACCCAGGAGGCAGAGGTTGCAGTGTCCTTGAACTTGGGTGGGCCTTTGTTACTGCCCCTATGGAAGTGATATTACATACAGTGTAAATGATGATATGTAAGGTTAACTGTATCCTTGAAAAGATGTCATATCTTTAACAAGATGATAGAGCTTCTACATGGCTCCTTTTTGGGACAATAGCTCCTGGAAGTCACTTGCCAGGCTATGAGGAATCCCAGGTCACATATTTATATCTTTTAGCTGAGGCCATTATTGAGTTCCCAGGCAGCAGCCAGAATTAACTCATACACATGAATTACGAAGGCTTCTAAATGTCTCCAGCCCCAGTCACCTTTGGATTTTAGCCCGGGAGATCCACAAAAATAATTATCGACCTGATCTAATCCTAACTTATATTTCAAATCACAAATAGTAATAATAAAAATAAGTTTGTTTCATGTTATTATGCTTGGGATGATTCCTTATGCAGCAATAAATCATTGAAACAATGTATCTTCAAACCAATTATTTAAAAACCTTTTTTTCAGCCAATGAATCAATATTTGTTTGCTTTATTCACTGGTGCATTCAACAAATGAATATATACGTGGGTAATTTCTTGTATAGCCTGTGTCACATTTTGTAGAACTAGAATTAAAAAGAAAAAGTCAATTTATGGCTTATATGAAAAAATATACATATTTAAAAAAGAAATTTTATCTAAGCAAAATTGTTTCTCAAGTAGCTCTGTACATTTTTTATGTATTGTCATATTTGGGTTTCATACCCTAGACTTCTGTCTTTCATTTATTTATTCTGGTTGATAGGTAAGTTGCCTTATTTGCATTATTTCTAAAGATGTGAAAAATTATTATGATTTTTAAATGTTAAAGTAAACATACCTCATACTTTTCACTAAAATGCAAAATATTGTAATAAAATAAATGACAAATTTTTCAAAGAAATGTGAAGCATAGTCAATAAAACATACAACTTTATTAAATCTCTATGTTCTAGAATCAGTTTTTGCACTGACATATATTCATAAGACACCTAGAAAATACCTTGTTAATTTTCATAGATTTAAACATTTCACAGGTTTAATTTTAGTAAGCTGACAATTTTCTAGAGGATATTTTTATTTGCAAATACAAATTATTTACAGTTAAACTTTGAAATTGGATATTCTTTCCAACTTGATCAATTCTTAAAGAACTGAGAAAAGTCTCAAAATAAAATGGGTTAGAAATAGTTTATATGTTATTGCTTTAAAATCATTTCAAGTAGTTACAATGCACTTTCACAGAAGCATCATTTTGCCTGAAGCATACAGGAGGGACACGGAATCAGGAACGAACAGAATGGAGGCCCCTGGAGCTATGTTTATAGATCCTTGCTCATTTATTGTGCAATTTATTCACTATAGCTTAAGGGACAAGCAAGCATTCATCACCCACTGCTCCCATCATTTTCAAGGCTGTTCAGTAGATAACACAAATGCTAAGCAAACAAGTCTTTTGATCCATTTCAATCTACTTCTGATTTTTCTTTTAGGTAACAAAAGTTTATTGATTTGACTCTATCTATGTGTTTCTATCTCTATGTCTACATCTAAAATTTTTCCATCTGTGTCTCTACTTACACATAAAATTGGAAAAAACACCACCCTTGGAGTATTCTCTGAACAGGGACAGAAAGTAAAATTGTTTGGTACAAAAGGGATTCCCATCTAAGAGTTTGATATGTGTGGAGTCTTAAATAGACAAAAGAGTTAGGCTGGTGAGAGATGGGAAAAACAAAACGAAAAAACAGATAAGCTCTAAGTACGCCTTTCTTCACGGTTCAGGTCATATAGACCTCTTGTGCAAACAACTGACAATCTTCCTGAGCCCAACTATCATTAGACACCTACAAGTTAGGTCACCGCAACCTTAGCGTTTTTAGTACTGCACAAAGCCCTCTTCAGCAGACAGCATAAACACTATTTGATAAAATTTCCACCGAGCCTTTGTTTCCCGGCAGTCAGTTTCTGTTGGCCTTCCCATTGCCTCCTTGCAAACTATTTTCCTAACAATTTTTCTAATAAATCTGCCTTTCTTTACCTACAACTGTCTTGGCAAATTCTTCTATCCCCATGCCACCGGCCCAGATAGTTGTCGTTCACCTGTAATATTTTGGTGGCCCATTAGGGGACTTTCTTTTCACGGGGAACTCTCTCCCCTGTCTCTTTCCCTTTCCCAACTTGGGACCCTCAGCAGACAGCGTCTAAGCACGAGCCAATTGCAGGTCACTGATTGGAGCTACACACAGGTGGGACCAAAAGGTGTCTATGTGGAAGTGTCTGACCACCATCACCCGTTTTGGTCAAAGGACCTGAGTTTACTTATTTTTTTCTGTCTTTCAGCAGCCAGTTTCTTGCATCCCTCTGGCAATTAAACCTGTTTTCCTTATATATTACCCAGTCTCAGGTATTTCTTTACAGCAGCATGAGAACGGACTAATACAGTAAGATGATACAGCAGAGAGTGGGATACTGCTATAAAGGGACTGAAAAATGTGGAAGTAACTTTGGAATTGGGTAACAGGCAGAGGTTGGAAGAGTTTGGAGGGCTCAGAAGAAGACAGGGAGATGTGGGAAAATTTGGAACTTCCTAGAGACTTGTTGAATGGTTTTGATCAAAATGCTGATAGTGATATGGACAATGAAGTCCAGGCTGAGGTGGTTTCAGATGGAGATGAGGAACTTGTTGGAAACTGGAATAAAGGTGACTCTTGCTATGCTTTATCAAAGAGACTGGTGGCATTTTTTTGCCTCTGCCTTAGAGATCTGTGGAACTTTGAACTTGAGAGAGATGATTTAGGGTATCTAACAGAAGACATTTTTAAGTGGCAAAGTGTTCAAGAGGAAGCTGAGCATAAAAATTTGGAAAATTTGTAGCCTGACCATGCAATAGAAAAGAAAAATCCATTTTTATGGGGAGAAATTCAAGCAGGCCACAGAATTTGTATAAGTAACGAGAAGCTGAACATTATTTCCCAAGCTAATGGGAAAAATGTCTCCAGGGTGTGTCAGAGACCTCCATGCCAGCCCTCTCCCATCAAAGGCCCAGAGGCCTAGGAGGAATACATGGTTTCATGGGCCTGGCCCAGTGCCCCCCTGCTCTATGCAGCCTTGAGACATGGTGCCCTGCGTATCAGCTGCTTCAGCTTCAGGTGATTGTAATTACCTGAGGCCTCCCCAGCCATGCTGAACTCTGAGTCAAAAAACCTCTTTTCTTTATAAGTTACCCAGTCTCTGGTATGTCTTTATTAGCAGTGTGACAACAGACTAATACAGAGGTCTCTGATTGTCTCACAGCTGTATGTAGTAGAGGATCTTCACTTAGTGCCTGAGTGGCTTTGACTCTGGAGAGGCGGACCCATGGAGAGACACCTCGGAGATTTACAGCCATTGGGGTGGTAGGAAGAACTTGATATGGCCCAGTCCAGATGGATTCTAAAGGCCTTTCCTCCTATGCGAGAGTTTTAAGATACACCCAGTCCTCAGGCATCAGTTTAGGCTGTGTGTTCTCTGGAAAAGAGGGATTGGGTTTTAGACTATGAAGATTTTGGTAATGGGTAATGGTTTTGATGGTTTGTCCTAAGAGATATCACATGCTGTGTGAAATAATGACTTTCTGGATCTAACAAGAGGTCTGTTTGTAAGAAGGGCCTTCCATAAAGAACTTCAAATGGGCTGAGATGGGTTTCTGAATTTGGGGTAATGCAAGACCTTAAGAGGGCAATAGGGAGCACAGCGGGCCGTGACTGTTCAGTTTCCTGTATTAGCTTTGTGAGATGCCTTTTTATGGTTTGATTAGCTTTTTCTACTTTTCCAGAGGATTGTGGATACCAGAATGCAAGCAAGTAGTATTTCATTTGAAGGCCTTAGCAACTTCTTGTTTTGAGAAATGAAGGCAGGGCCATTGTCTTATGGAATGAGTAAGGGAGCCCAACACAGGGAAGAATGTGGTCCAAAAGGGCCATGGTGGCTTCTAATGCCTGTTCAGTTTTGGTGGGAAAGGCCTCTATCCCCCCAAGTATCTACAAAGACTAGCAAGTATTTAAGTTCCTTGCATTGGAGGCATGTGCGTAAAATCTAGCTGCCAATCTTCTCCTGGTAGGGTCCCTCATCTTCGAATGGAGTAGAGGAGAGGAGGAGATTTGTGGGTCCCTTCAGGATTCATTTTCGCAGCATGTGGCACAAGCCTGCAAGATGGCTCGCTGAAGATTGGGTTATTCCTTTACCAATAAACAGTGGACTTACTAAGTTTTGGAGGGCTTTGGCCCCCACATTAGTTGATTTGTGTAAGCTTTTTAAATGTTTCCATTGTGAGGCTCCTGGAATGAAAGTTTGCCGTTAGAGCTTTTTAGCCAGCTTTCTGAGTTATGAGAGAAGCCTTTCACTAGAGCCCTTTGGGTTTCTTTCTGTGAATAGTGTGAGACAGGAGAGTGGGGTTAGGAACCAAAACTGCCTGAAGGGGCAGCCTGGCAGCTGCTTTTGCTTAGTCATCAGCTCATTTGTTCCCAATTGAGATTTCATCACTGCTTCCCTGATGGGCTCTGCAGTGAATGATAGCTACCTGTGCAAAAAGCAAAATTGTCTCTAACAGAATCATGATTACAGGAGCATGTCTAATTGGAGAAGTTTGGTCTGTTGAGAGTTTCCTTTTTCACCAAATGGCTGCATGGGCATGTACTACATGAATGCCTAGGCTGAGTCTGTGTAAATATTAAATCTCATGCCTGGTCCTAATTGTAAGGCTTGAGTAAGGGCAATAAGTTCTGCCTTCTGGGCTGAGGTGGTGCTGCCTGGTACGGGCCTTGATTCTATAACTTCAGTAAGGCTAACAATTGCATACCCTGATAACTGGGTACCTTCCAACATGAAACTACTGCTGTCTGTGAACCAAGTGGCCTCTAGATTGATTGGTAAGGGGGGTGTCTTGGAGGTCTGTTCTGGTGCAACAAGTTAAATCAATAGTTTGTAAGCAGGAGTGTTTAAGTGGTCCATCTGCATTTGGAGATGGTAACAGGGTAGCAGGATTAAGAAATTGACGTGGCTTAATGTTTAATTATGGTGTTTGCAGTACTGACTGATATCTGCTAATTCCACTATTAGAGACCCAGTGAAAGGGCTTTGAGTTTAAAATATTTGTTACATTGTGTGGTGTATATATTATTATTTCTTGGCCCAGAGTTAGCTTGGAGACCCCCCTCAACTAATAGGGTCACAGATGCTAGCGCATGGAGGAACGGAGGCCAGCCCTGTGCCAACCAATCAGGGTTCTCTGATAACTGATTGGTCATTGGAAGGGATCCAATGGCTGGGTTAGGACCATTTTCAGGGTACAGCCCTACTCCTGGCTGCTTTCATGGGCTGGCATTGAGTGTCTGCAGCTTTTCCAGGCACATGGTGCAAGTTGTTGGTGGATCTATCATTCTGGGGTCTGGAGAACAGTGGCCCTCTTCTCAGAGCTCCACTAGGCAGTGTCCCAGTGGGTACTCTGTGTAGGGGCTTCTACCCCACATTTTCCTTATATACTAACATGGCAGAGGTTCTCCATGAGGGCTCTGGCCCTGCAGCAAACTTCTGCCTGAATATCCAGGCCTTTCCATACATACTCTGAAATCTAGGCAGAGGTTTCTTAACCTCAATTCTTGACTTGTATGCACCCACAGGCCCAACACCATGTGAAAGCTGCCAAGGGTTGGGTCTTACACTCTCTGAAGCAATGGCCTGAGCTGTCCGTTGGCCCCTTATAGCCATGCCTGGAGTGGCTGGGATGTAGGGCACCAAGTCCCAAGGCTGTATAGAGTAGTGGGTCCCTGGACCTGGCCCAGGAAACCACTTTTCCTTCCTAGGCCTTGGAGTCTGTGATGGGAGGGGCTGTTGTGATGGTCTCTGACATGCCCTGGAGACATTTACCCCATTGTCTTGGTGATTAACATCCAGCTCCTCATTACTTATGCAAATTTCTGCAGTGGGCTTGAATTTCTCTTCAGAAAATGGGATTTTCTTTCCTATCCCATGGTCAGGCTGCAAATTTTCCAAACTTTTATTCTCTGCTTCCTCTTGAATCCTTTGCTGCTTAGAAATTTCTTTGGCCAGATACCCTAAATCAGGTCTCACAAATTCAATGTTCCACAGATCTCTGGGGCAGGAGCAAAATGCCACCAGTCTCTTTGCATAGCAACAGTGACCTTTACTCCAGTTCCCAACAAGTTTCCCATCTCGCTCTAAAACCACCTCAGCCTGGACTTTATTGTCCATATTATTATCAGCATTTTGATCAAAGCCATTTATCAAGTCTCTAAGAAGTTCTAAACTTTCCCACATCTTCCTGTCTTCTTCTGAGACCTCCAAATTGTTTCAACCTCTGCCTGTTTCCCAGTTCCGAAGTTGCTTCCACATTTTTGGATATCTTTATAGGAGCACTCCACTCCTGGTACCAATTTCCTGTATTAGTCCATTCTCATGCTGCTAACAAAGACATATCTGATAGTGGGTAATTTATAAAGAAAAGAGGTTTAACTGACTCACCATTCTGCATTCGGCCTCAGGAAACTTATAATTATGGTGGAAGGGGAAGCAAACACATCCTTCTTCACATGGTGGCAGGGAGAAGAAGACTGAGTGCCCAGTGCAGGGGGAAGCCCCTTATAAAACCATCAGATCTCCTGAGAGCAGGATGGGAGAAACCGCCTGCATGATTCATTTGTCTTCACCTGGTCCCACCCATGACATATGGGGATTTGGAGAACTATAATTCAAAATGAGATTTGGGTGAGGACACATCCAAATCAGACTCTATCTATTGTTTAGACAAACTCAGACTCTGAGTTGGATTCAGGTAATACTAACCCTAATTTTCAACTCTAGCTTCAAGGAGTTTCTTTTTCCTTACTCCCTTAACTTTCCTTAAAAATCAATGAAATCTACTTTTTTCCTGGCTTCTTTACTTAATTACAGCTGTAAACTGCATCCTGGTCATTACTTTCATTGTTCTGCACTTCAACTGCCTTTTTACATCTGGATGCAATAATATTCTCCTTTCTCCTTGAACTTCACTCTTTAAGAATAAGCATGCCAATGACTCAACCACCATAACATAGTCTAGCTACTGTAGCTAACAATTAAAGCTATTACTGAGTCCTCTGAAATTTCTGGTGGGGATCCCAGATAGTTAATCTATTTATTAAATTAGCAAATAGATACTCATCAAGGCAGTTTGCACTCTATCAAGCACATAAAAACATGCAAGCGCTGGTGGACTCAAGGCAGTAATACCAACTTTGAGATTTGGGTTTATCTAATCAGCCATATAATTTAATGTCACAAAATCAATACCACATACTATAGGAAAAATAGCATAAAATTTTCAGTAAAAACTTCCTTCACTTGGATTTTCTGAAAAGATAACCAATTAGAACAATTTCTAAAAACCAGATGCCTAAACAATATTTTATTCTTGATGACCTTGTTTGTAACTGTGCTTTCTAAATTACCAATCACCAAAGGAAGAAGCCATGAACTTCTTATATTTTATATTTATAATTTACAGAGGTCCCAAAAACATCATTTAATACCAGGGCTTCCTGCTTTCCCAAGAAATCTAGAATATTTTGATCTCTCTTGAAGTTGACAGAAATTAGCCCAATGGCTTTTTAAAACTTTATTCTTAGAGCTAACTCTTTTTACTCAATTCTATTACAGGCTCACAGTAATTATCCAACTGCTTCACTTAAACAGCTTCATCCTCTTGACATTAATACTATTATAAGGGAAGTAGGATATGGTTGCTATTTGCAGGGGGATTTCCAAGATTACCACCCAGATAAAATTTCTTTATATTTGTCCTAGTAATCTCATATACCTCCATGCCACACAACAATATACCAAGGTACTAGGTGTTTGTTTGTTTTTCTTATACTCTGTACAGTCCTTCTTCTTTCCTGTCTCCCTGAATTCACTACATATTGTCACCTTTAACATGTCAGGCTTCATCCTAGTTACTTGGATATCTCTACAATTAGCATTAACACTTAAAATGAACCTTACTCTGCCAAGTCTTGTGGATTACATTGTACTTGAAGGGACTCACAAGCTATTAAGGAAACAACATTCTCTGTGTGCCAAGGATTGTTGGTTTTGTTTACTATTAGTCCCTGAAAGGTATGATTCCATATTCCCTATTTATGCTCAGAATTTCATCCCTTTTAACACCACCTTGTATCCCAAATTCCTGTTTTCCCACTCCCACAGGACCCTAAAAAGCATACACAAGGCATGGTAGCTTCATTCTCTGCCTATTTAAGTCAATACACAACCAAGCTAAAAACATAAACCCTCTCAAAGGACTGGTTCCCTGACCCAAGAGAAAATCCCCTGTTGTAGGCCCCCTTTTTAAACAAGTCCAATTCAAACATTAAGCTTTTTTTTTTAAGCAACAGAAAACAAACATTACTTCAACCCTGTTGGTAATGTTCCTAAACCCCTTTGCAACTACACTGTAACTATAAATTGTACCAATAGAAAATATGTATCGGGGAAAATATAATTTGGTACCAGTTAGAATATCAGGCCTAGCCAACCTCAATGCCCCAAATCTCCAAACTATAAACTATCACTTCTGTACAGTGAGGCCCTCTCCAGACACTTGTCCTGATGTAACTCCATGGCAAAATGGCAAGGTTATGAATTCCCCTAACAATTGCCTACAACTTCTCATGCTCAGCAACCCCAAATCTCAGATTTTTCTAGACTCTCAATGCTTTCAGTTATTCTGGGAAAACAAAATCCACCCAAATGCAAACTATAATATCCAAGCCTTACAGCCTCTTACAACTGCTACTCTAGCTACCTCATACTTGTTCTTCAGGTCAGAAGGCCAAAACACACTTCGTTTCTTCACTCTAAGTTTAATATCTTGCCTTAAATCTGAGGAAGCATTCTTCCTCCATAAACAAATGCATGTATTTGTCTTCCAGCCAACTGAACTAGAACTTGTACACTAGTTTACTTAGTCCTAGACATCCAAATTGCTCCTTCCAATCAATTCCTTCCAATACCACTTTATAGTTCTAGCAGAGAAAACTGAGCAATCCATCTGATTGCCCTGTTCATTGGCCTAGGGATTGCCATTGGGTTAAGCATGGGAATAATAGGTATGAGCCTCACAGCCCATACTTATTATACCCTCTCAATGGAACACCCCACCAAGCTCAAACATATCTCGGACACCCAGGAAGTCCTCCAAAATCAGGCCAACTTCATAGCACAAATTGTTCTCCAAAATGGCTGTGGCATAAATCTGCTTACAGGAGCCCAGTGGGGTATTTGTTTAGTCCTTGAATAGGAATGTTGTGTTTATGTTAATCAGTCGGGAATAGTGCAGAACCATGTCCAAAAAAAAAAAAAAAACCATGTCAAGCTGCTGAAATAGAAAAAAAAAAAAGCATCACAAGCATAGTCTTCATGGATATCTACTTTGGGATGGTTCTCCTGGTTCCTCTCCTTTTTGGGGCCACAAACAGGTATTTTATTATTCCTTCTTTTCAATCCTTGTATCTTCAACTTACTTGTCAAATTTTCTAGATCTTGTGGGAATGCTTCAATCTCTTTATTCTTTTTTCTTTAGTCTCCTTTGTGTACTTTCAAATAGACTGTCTTCAAGCTCATTAATTCTTTCTTTGCTTGATCCATTCTGCTAAGAGATTCTGATGCATTCTTCTGTATGTCAATTCCATCTTTCAACTCCATAATTTCTGTTTGATTTTTTAAATTTATTTCAATGTCTTTGTTAAATTTATCTGATATTATTCTAAATTTCTTCTCTTTGTTATTATGAATGAGTTTCTTAAAAACAGCTATTTTGATTTCTGTGTCTGAAACAACACGTGCATCCATTTCTCTGGCATTGTTTCCTGGTGCTTTATTTAGTTTATTTTATGAACTTATTGTTTCCCGGATAGCCTTGATGCCTGTGGGTGTTAACTGTTGTCTGTGCATCGAGTAGTTATGTGTCCGAAATTGGTGGGTTCTTGGTCTCACTGACTTCAAGAATGAAGCCGCAGACCCTCGTGGTGAGTGTTACAGTTCTTAAAGATGTGTGTCCGGAGTTTGTTCCTTCTGATGTTCAGACATGTTCGGAGTTTATTCCTTCTGGTGGGTTCGTGGTCTCGCTGGATTCAGGAGTGAAGCTGCGGACCTTCGCGGTGAGGGTTACAGCTCTTAAGGTGGCGCGTCTGGAGTTGTTCATTCCTCCTGTCCGGAGTTGTTCATTCCTCCCGGTGGGTTCGTGGTCTCGCTGGCCTCAGGAGTGAAGCTGCAGACCTTCATGGTGAGTGTTATAGCTCATAAAAGCAGCGTGGACCCAAAGAGTGGGCAGCAGCAAGATTTATTTCAAAGAGCGAAAGAACAAAGCTTCCACAATGTGGAAGGGGACCCGAGTGGATAGCCACTGCTGGATCCAGCAGCCTGCTTTTATTCTCTTATGTGGCCCCACCCACAACCTGCTGATTGGTCAATTTTACAGAGAGCTGATTGGTCCATCTTGACAGGGTGCTGATTGGTGTGTTTACAATCCCTGAGCTAGACACAGCGTGCTGATTGGTGTGTTTACAATCCCTGAGCTAGACACAGCATGCTGATTGGTGCATTTACAATCCTTTAGCTAGACATAAAAGTTTTCCAAGTCCCCACTAGATTATCTAGACACAGAGCACTGACTGGTACGTTTACAAACCTTGAGCTAGACACAGAGTGCTGATTGGTGTATTTACAATCCTTTAGCTAGACATAAAAGTTCTCCATGCCCCCACCCGACTCAGGAGCCCAGCTGGCTTTGCCTAGTGGATCCCGCACCAGGGCCGCGGGTGGAGCTGCCCGCCATTCCCATGCCATGCACCTGCATTCCTCAGCCCTTGGGTGGTTGATGGGACTGGGTGCTGCAGAGCAGGGGGACGGTGCCCATCAGGGAGGCTCGGGCCGTGGGGCAGCCCACCGTTGGGGGGCTCAGGCATGGCGGGCTGCAGGTCCTGAGCCATGCTGAGGCCCGGCGAGAATTCAAGTGCAGCGTGGATGGGCCGGCAGTGCTGGGGAACCCGGTGCCCCTCCACAGCTGCTGGCCCGGGTGCTAAGCCCCTCACTGCCTGGAGCAGCAGCGCTGGCTGGCCACTCTGAGTGTGAGGCCCACTGAGCCCATGCTCACCCAGAACTCACGCTGGCCCGCAAGTGTCGCTCCCAGTTTCCCGCCCGTGCCTCTCCCTCCACACCTACCCGCAAGCAGAGGGAGCCGGCTCTAGCCTCTGCCAGCCCAGAGAGGGGCTCCCACAGTACAGAGGCAGGCTGAAGGGCTCCTCAGGCATGGCCAGAGTGGATGCCGAGGCCAAGGAGGCGCTGAGAGCGAGCGAGGGCCATCAGCACATTGTCACCTCTCAGTTAGGTATTTACTGTAGTATTCTCAGTATGTGCTTGTTTGTGCTGTCCCTCTTGGGAAGGGTTTCAAGACATTCAAACAGACTTGAATGTTTTAATCTAAACCATATGTACATTAAGGGGAACACCAAATTCAGTAATGCTGTGGTTCTTACAGATTCATGGAGGTACCACTTCTTGGACTAGGATATAATCTGGAAGAATTCTCTGGACTTCTCAAGAGAGAATCTTGTTTATTTTCCTTTCTTACTTTCAAACAAGTGGAATCTCTCTTTCTATATGTTGAGCCACCTGTAGCTGGGTGTGGGGTGACACAAGCACCCCCATGGCCACCACCACTGGGACTGTTCTAGGTCAGACCTGAAGCCAGCACAGCACTGGGTTTTAGCAAAGACCTGTTGTAACTACTACCTGCTTACCACCTATGTTCATTCAAGGTCCTTAGGCTTTAAAATTAGCAGCTGCTGAAGCCAGCCAGACTTGTGTCTTTCCTTTCAGGGAAAACAGTGAGTTCTTCTAGGCCCTGGGCAGGTCCAGAGATGCTGTCTCAGAGCCAGGGACTGGAGCCAAAAACTTAGGAATCTACCTGGTACTCTGTTCTACTGTGGCTAAACTAGCACTCAAACCACAAGACAAAGTCCTTCCGACTCTCCCCTCCCCTTTCCATAGTTAGAGGAGTCTCATCCCATGGCCACCATTACCACAGACCCTTGGAGAGTACTGTCAGGTTACCGTTGATGTTTCCATAAATTCCAAGAGTTCCTCAGTCATATTGTGGTGAATTCTGCCAGGCCTGGGACTGGCCTTTTGGGGCAGTGGGCTCCCCTGTGGCCCAGAGCATGTTTGGAAAGACCATTCAAGAGCCAATGCTTTGAATCAGGGATCCCAAGCTCCCTCTTGGTGCTCTTCTATGCTATGATCTAGCTGGTATCTAAAATGCAAGATAAATTCCCCTTTACTTTTCCCTCTGCTTTTCTCAAGCAGGAGTCTGTCCTCATAGCCACCAGAGCTGTGAATGTGCTGGGTCTCACCAGAAGCTTGCACACCTCAGAGTTTCACCCAAGGCCCATGGTGTGTAAAATTTGGATCTTGCTACTGGTTATTCAGGAACAAAGACCCTTTGGTCAACAGGTGATGAATAGTGCCAGGACTTGGTTCTTCCCTTCAAGGCAGCAGGTTTTCTTCTGCTCCAGTGTGTTTCTAGAAATGTCCAGGATCTAGGGCCTGGAATGGGAGCCTCACTACTCTGCCCAGTGCTATATCAGACTGTGGCTGAGCTGGTATTCAAGTTGCAAGACAAAGTCTTCTTTACTCTTTCCTCTCCTCTCCTCAAGGAGAAGGAAGGCGTCATTTTCATTGCTGCAAGCTGAACTGTGAGGAATTTGTAGAGGGGTAGCACAAGCACTCTCTTAGCCACCCTGTTTATGTCTCACTAGGTCATGTGCCACCTAAGCCCACTATCTCCAAGTCCAGCTCAGCACTAGGGCTTGCCTAGAAATTACAGTCCTTGTGACCTAAACTGCCTTTTATTTAAGACCCCAGAGAAATTTTAGCCCATGGTGGCAAGGCTTGCTGAAACTCAAGTTCCTATCACTAGGATGGGTGAATCTAATCTCCTCTGCCTAGGGCTGGTCTAAATGCTCCCTCCATGGGTAGTTGTCAGCTGAGTTTAGCACAGTTTTGCTTTTCTGTGTGACAGGGAAGCACTGAATTCAATGCAATTTCTTACAGTTGTTGCACTTTGCCTTCCCCAAGTGAAACGGATTCTCATGGCCACACAGCCACTGCCAGAGTATTCAGGAGGGGTAGCATCAAAAATTAAGACTCTCTTTCCTACCGCCTTTAGTACCTCTTTCAGTGATACGAAGTTAACACTATGTACTGTGATTGCTTACCTGATTTTTGGTTCTTATGAACTTCCTTTTTTTTATGTAGATAATTATTAAATTTGGTGTTCCTGTGGAGGGTAAAATTGGTGGAGGTTTCTATTTAGCCTCCTTGTTCTGCCCCTTTGCTAGATGTTTATTTTCATGTATAAGAGCAAAGTTAAGCCTGCCAGTTTTGCTATTGTACAGGCACATCTTTATAGAAAAAAATGTTGCGGAAGCTTTCTTTATGTGTATCATCTTCTAGCCTACGATAAACCAGAAGTAAAAGCTACCTTCCACAGCTTATTTTCCTGTTTGCAAAAAGGAAAGGCAGTGGCTAGTGCATTTCGAGGTTAAATAAAACAATTCATAGTGTTGATTGGTGTTTATATAGTAACCTAAGAAAGATTAATTACAAAGAAAAATAAACAAAGAAATAAATAATAGTTAATTGTTTAATGTATACCTAACTTATCACTCTTCATTGACCTACAACTAATAATTATTATTTAAAACAAACAAAATAGATTTTTAAAACCTGCTGCTTTATATGACTTTCATTTATCTAAAAACACATGGTTTACGCAGTAACACTGAGATTCAATCTTTGATAAATCACCGACTAAGAAAAACTTCTGATTCTTCATGTTTTACTTTGCATATAAATTGCCTCTTGAATATTTCCACATAAATCAGAATTATAATTTACAACCCAGAATAAAATGGACTAAATATATTTACTTATTCTTTCTCTGACAGAAAAGCTGCCTAAACAGAAACACCATTGAAGAAAAAAGAGATTGCAGTCTTCTCTGTTTCTGCCATGTTGAAGCTTGGATATATTGCTTTTGTGTCTTCTGTAGAAGAAATCATTTGATTTGTTTATTTCTTTTCTCTGCAATATGTGAAAAGTAAATGTTGGTGGTGTCTAGTTTATTTTAAAAAAAATAGTGCATTCCTCAATGCAGTTGGAAGGGCTAAGATTTAAATAACATTGAAAATTATAACTGCAATAAAGCAGAATTCCTGACTTTTCTATTGTCCAGTAAGTTCTGTTGATTTCCTCTGTGATATCTTTGGCAGGCAGAGTCTCCCTTCATTATTCTAAATTTGGTGAAATAAAAATTGTATTAGTTTTTAATAAAATTATGTATCTGGGTACAGAATTTTTTTGGGTAGGAACTGTCAACAGTGTCTCTACATCTCTATCTATCTATGTATCTATCTATATCTATGTCTATATCTATCTGTCTATCTATCTATATCTCCCCTATTAATTTTCTTTTTCTAGAGAACTCTAATTAATATAGTGATGCATTTTGGACTGTGCTATAAAAAATATTAGGGGGCAGCCCATAGTGTAGCTCTATTTGTTGCCACTCTGGTTCTACTCAAGAAACTATTAGACTTCCTCTCCTTTCATGTGGACTAACAGATGTTTTACACTTCCAGTTTATACGTAAGTCTTACTTATTTGAAGTTTTCATTCAACTAAATGATTCCACTGATTACTTTCTATTTATAATAAATCTGTTAATCACTACAGGGAACACAGACATAAGTAAGATCATCTAGAGTCTCAAAATGCTCAGATACTAGCTGGGATGAAGTTGGAGGTGGATCTATAAGGTGGGAGTGGAAGGAAGGCTGATAAGTAAAAAAATGTAAAAATAAAAAATCAGGATGGAGACAAGTGGCACGTAAAAATGTACAAAATGATATGGAAACAAATGAAGACATGATTGCATCTAATTAGAGGGATCAAAAGTGCTTTCATTAAAGAGGTGGTCAGATACTATTGCAGAATTTTGACATGTGACATTCAGGGTGGGGATATAAGACATTCTAAAAGGATGGAGTTAAATATGCATGGACAAAGCAAAACATGAGGCAGAAAGCACCCAGTATGTCTGTGGTGTGATGCTTTGTAGAGAATCTAGCAGATTAGACAATTAAAACCCTGAAAATATAGTTTGAAACAAAATGATAAGAGTCTTGAATAGAAAATTGAGGAATTCTGAGTTAATTTTATAATTAGCTGTGGAGCAATGAATGTGTTTGAGTAGGTCAATACTTACTGAAAGGAAATTATGCTGATAGCAGGGTGGTATAATTTATAAGTTGGGAGGCAGAAGACATGGAGATCAGTTAAAAACCTCTTACAATAGCACATGACTGAGTCAATCAAGCCTGAATTTGAGTGGTGGCAGAGGAAACGGAGAAGAATAAAGAGTTTTTTTGTGGAAACTGAAATCAATACAATTCAACAACTGTTTGGCTATAAGGAATAGTAGATAGGGTGGAATCAAAGATGATAAAGAGATCTCAAGCCTGGTTAGAGCTGTTAGAATAAACTAAATATCAGGAAAATGAATTACCTTGAGCACAAAAATGGGGATTTCAATTTTCAAAATGTTGAATTTGTTGTGCTCATGAGGTAGAAATAATCAGTGAAGCAGTTGGATGTGTAGGTCTCCTGATCTAGAGACATGTTAGGACAGAAGATAGAGATATAAGAGTCATTTACATAGAGGTGATAGTTGAAGCTATGGATCTAGATATATTTTCTGATTAATAGATTCTAAAACAAAATGTGAATAAAATCTTAAGAAATATACAGAAGTAGTAGAATCCATATTGCGGGTAAGAGTCATCAGGACATATCTAGCAAACGTCTAAATAGCTCATGCGATGGGCACACAAAGTGTATTTGTGTGAGTAAAATTTGAGGAAACAGCTTGGATAGAATTTGGCATGTCCATCAAACTGGTGAGCTCTTCCAATAGTAGTCTTCTGTCAGGGAGGCTTAAAAACCCTATGCTTGATCCAGTAACAATACTTAGTTAATTTAGGTAATAATAATCTAAGTAAAACATTGTGTCCTCAGTATGAATTTTGAGAAGTGGTAAAGTCTACTTGTTAAGAATATAGTTTCTAGAGCCAAAGTGTGTGGGTTTGAATTCCTGCCTGTCACTTACTAGCTGGGTTACTTTGAGCAAGTATCTTAACTTCTCTGCTTCTTAGTATCTTCATTATTATTATTATTATTATTATTATTATTATTATTATTATTAAGACAGGGTCTGGCTCTGTCACCCAAGATGGAGCGCAGTGGCGCTATCTCGGCTCACTCCAACCTCTGTCTTTGGGCTCAAACCATCCTCCTACCCCAGCCTCTCAAATAGCTGGGACTACAAGAGTGCACAACCATGCCCGGCTAATTTTTGAATTTTTGGTAGAGATGGGAATTCACCATGTTGACCAGGCTCGTCTTGAACTCCTGAGCCCAAGTGATCCACATGCCTCAGCCTCTCAAAGTGCTGGGATTACAGGCGTGAACAACCACACCTGGCTGTCTTATTATCTTTAAATGTATAATTGGGAAAATAATACTACACCAGAAGTTAGTTGTAGTAATTTAAAAAGTTAAAATACAGTAAGTATATAAGACAGTTCTTGAGACTTGTTAAGTCCTTAACAAATGTTTGCCATTATTATGTTTAGTCTCCTCACCCTAATTCAGTTAGATTGTCTGAGACCTATGGAGAGATCTTTCAATGAATGTTCTTTAAGATATAGACACACAAGAATAATTCTTAGGAATTTCCATAACAAATTGTGAAAGAAATAAGGAGTTACTCTTCATCACACTGCCATGCAAACGTTTTTAGCTTTGGCAACTGAAAGATAACTGTTGTGCCTAGCAGATAAAGTAGAAAGACTACAATAAACCAGAAAAGCAGGGGCGTTGTATCAGTGGCAACAGTCTGTTCTATGGTACTGAAGTAATGCCTGCTGCAGTAGGCAGAGCGGCAACCATTAGAATTAGAGAACTACTGTACTTAGCTGAATGGCAGTGATTATTATGTAGCACCTAATAGAATAATGCGGATACATTAGGAGTGGAGCACTCATAAGGTTTTCTGAAAAATTATCGGGGCACTCATTGTAGGGAGACTGGAGTAAACCTTGTCAGCAAATGTGATAATAAGATAGTGCAATTTGTGTCATATATATTTAGCAGGCTGACAGAGTAAGAGAAGCTGCAGAAGGATACAGAAGAATCAGTCAGATAGAAATGAGGAGAGTATAGTATTATAGAAGGCAAAGTAAGAGAAATTCCTGGAAGTATGGCATTATCAACAGGGTCAAATGCTGCAGAAATGTCAAGAAGAATGAATACCAACAAAGGTGATTGGATCCGGAAACCGGAAACTCATTTGTAGTATCTCATAAGGCAGTTTCAGTAGAGCAGTGGTGTAAAGAGACTGATTGTAAAAAGCATAATTATAAACGGGTGGTGAGAAAGTGAAGAAAATTGGTGTGGAATCTTCTCTGGAGGAAATGTGGAACTATGAAAAATATACAAGATAGTACGTTGAAGAGGTGATAGGAGTTTGTAAATGATTTTTTGGTTTAGGAAGAGCTGAGCCATGTTTGTAGATAAAGAAGGAAAACCTGACACAGGGAGATTTTAAAAATTCAAGGAATAGGGGCCGGGCGCGGTGACTCACGCCCTTAATCCCAGCACCTTGGGGGGCCGAGGCAGGTGGATCACGAGGTCAGGAGTTCGAGACCAGCCTGGGGCCAATATGGTGAAACCCTGCCTCTACTAAAAATACAAAAATTAGCTGGGAATGGTGTCGCGCGCCTGTAGTCCCAGCTACTTGGGAAGCTGAGGCAGAAGAACCGCTTGAACCTGAGAGGCGGAGGTTGCAGTGAGCCGAGATCGCGTCACTGCACTCCAGTCTGGGCGACAGAGCAAGTCTCTGTCTCAAAAAAATAAATAAATAAATAAATAAATAAAGGAATAGAAAGACTAATAAATAGAATATAATACCAAAGAGAGAGGCAGGTAAAAGCTTCATTATTTTATATGTATCTATTCTAGTTGAAAGGAACAGAGTCTCTCAATGACTAGTTCAAGTTATAAGCATAATGTAAGGAGACATATGCAGAAACATGTACTGAGACTCATAAAAAGCCCAAAAGACATTGGTCATATTTCACAGAGATAGGAATCATAGCATATTTCTGAGACTATATTATGGTCTGTCAAAGACTATTCTAGAAATCTCTGCAGCAATTTCGAATGGATTTTCAATTTAATGTTCAATTATTAATTTAACTCAGGTACTCTTCTGGTTTTTGATATTTTATTTGTATCTATTCATGTCATATTCTATGCATTGATTTTTTACCCCATTCAATATATTTCTTATTTGAGCTGATATTAACCAGATTTACTATGCATAACTCACCATACCCCAATATCCCCAAATTTGTTTTTTTCATGAATTCATTTTGTGTGTAAGATTGATGTCCTACAAAATTAGCCCCAATTTACTCAAAATTTCCGTGTGCTTATCATTTTGACCCATTAACTTTATTATTTCTCATGGTCCTTCTTGCCTTTTTGCCCCTCTTTGTGCATAGTTTCAGTCTTACTTCCCCATATTAACTATCCCATTCTCTTTGGACTCCTAGTTTAAGTTCCTTAAAACATAATCTGATTGGACCAGTTTATCTATATTTAGCCAGAATTATTTGTTTTGTCGTCTCATGGGCTACTGATTAGTATAGGAAATGGCTTTTCTTGGTCAAGTGACCATTTGTAGTCTAATCTCCTGTTTTGGCGTACTGGTTGTAGAGAAGCATAAAATGAAACATCATGTGGGAAGAACATAATCAAGAAAATACCAGGGGTCACTTCCTCCAGCAGGAGTCTTGCTCGCAATCGTGCGTAGAATGAGCTTTGACCTAGTAGGCATTATGCTTGGCTGATTGAAAACATCTGTGAATTAAATAAATTAACACAGAAAACCTAAATCTACTTCTGAAGTGATTTTGTCTTTTCCTCTTTATTTTCATCAATAGTGTCTTAGCTTACATATTATTTTCATCTCTTATTAGGACCTTTGCTAACTTGCCTAACTGTTTCTGATCTTTTCTTCATGATAACCTATTGTCCAAATTAATTTTTGAGTTTTATTTTAAAAACACATAATAGATAACATAACTCTCCTATTCAATATATTTAATGTCAATGAAAGTTAGCATGTTGAAGTGCGATGTGTATTCTATTCACTTGACGTGTAGTTGTTTAAAAATGTTCTTCAAGTAATAGATTACTGTTATCATCCTCCAT
The DNA here is from genome assembly GCF_000001405.40 of Homo sapiens. NCBI lineage: Eukaryota > Metazoa > Chordata > Mammalia > Primates > Hominidae > Homo > Homo sapiens. The sequence continues at coordinate 5,824,781 of NC_000024.10, forward strand.
TATATACAAGGATATTGATACTCAGAAAATTCAAATAATCTGAGCAGATGAATAAAGTTAGTAAGTGTTGCAACTGGAATGTAAACCAATATTTATTGATTCTGATACCAATTCAATATTTATTATTTTAAACTCTAGCCTACACAACTTTCCATTGTCTGCAGAAAGAAGTTCAACATTCCTACAAATTCATACATAGTTCTTGACAATTTTCCCCAAGCCACATTTAGAGGCTCATTTTTTTCCTCTTTCTCTCATCATGTGGCTACCCTTCAATATAATCATACTAAACTTCTTGCAGTTTCATAAATACACCACTTTAAAAATATATCTCCTGTTTATTCCAAACATCCTAGGCTGGAAATGTTCAAATGACAAAATTCAAAGTTATTTGTAGTGTGATATTTTTAGTACTACGGTAACTGGAAATATATATCTCCAGATATTCCTTGCAACTACGGTTATGTCGGCTATAGTAGACAGAATTCTAGCTGCTCTCTCTGGCCCCAAGATTTCATTCTTGGTTACTGAATCAAATATTAATCTAGGTATGGTTGCGAAGCCATTTTATAGGTGTAATTTAAGTCTTAAGTTAATGGACATTAATATATGGTGATTATCTGAGTGAACACGACCCAAGCAAGTGAGCCCCTCCTTTCTTTTAAAATATTTAATTGACAAAGATTGTATGCATTAGAAGTGTAAAACATGATGTTTTGATATATGCATATATTTTGCAATAATTGTTGCAATCAAATAAATTAATACATCTATCAACACAGATAGGATCCATTAGGTTCCCAGAACATGATAGTCTTATACCTGGAAGTTTATACACTTTGACCATCCTTCATTCCCTCCAAACCCCAGCTCTTAGCACCCACATTCTGCCCTCTGTTTCTGTAAGTTTGACTTTTTTAGATTCCACATGTATGTGAGATTATACAATATTTTTCTTTATGTGTCTAGCTTATTTTGGCTAGCATAAAGCAAAACATTTTGTTTAAATGTAGAAAAGAATATCGAAAGGCTTTGAAGCAGGAGAAAGATTTAATGGACTCACATTTCTGGCTTTGAAGAGGAGCAGGACCGTGTGCAAGGACTAGAGAGTGGCTTCTAGGACTTAAGAGTGACCCCTGACTGACAGCCATTACGGAAATGTGGACCTATGTCTTACAACCTCATGAAGCTAAATTTTGCCAACAACCTGAATGAGCTAGAATTACATAGGTTTCCAAACCCTCCAAACCTGAACTCAGACTGACATTTTGATGCCAGCCTTGTAATATGCTGAGCAGAGAAATCAACTATGACATGACAGATTTCTGAACTACATAAATGCGGGCTAAAAAGTGAATGTTGTTTTAAACCGTAGTAACTTGTTATGTAGTAATAGAAAGCTATCATAGAGTCAAATTAAGTTTTACTAATAAGTTGCAGTTACATAAGATTTGAGGGCTGAAATAAGGCATAGACCTTCCAAAATAACTTTTGCCATTTTCTGGCTGGCAAACAATGTATGTGAAGATTCTGTTGTTCAATTTCCAGTTTTAGCAATGAAAGTGGCAGTTACAGCAATAATAATGGACTAACATTTTTTAATCTGTTTATAAGCATCATGAGTGTTGAGAAAAATACAGGCTATCATGGTGGCTAGATTTCACATTTCATTTCCTAGACAGTCATGTTCCCAGACAGGACAAGGTTTGTCTGCTTGTTCTTGTGGTCCAATAACAAGACGCAGACAGACTGGGAAAGAAGGGAGTTTATTTCTCCAACTGGCTACAGACAGAAGGTCGGAGTAACTCACCAGACCAACTAAAAGTTACAAGGTTTTTCTTCAGTGCTCATATAAATTCAGACCATATGCCTATGTGTGAGAGTGCACCTGCAAGCCAAAGTGTTTCACCCTGTTTAATCTTTAACTAGGGGCTGGGATCTGAAAAATTTCTTTAGAGCTTTGGAAGAATTACTTAATCTAAAGTGGATCCTGGTACAAGGTGTACAAAGTGTGTAAGAACTTTTCCATTATTTTAATCAAACTCTAAGTTCTGAGAAGCCCAGGTGGGGTGTTAAATGCCTTGTTTTACATTCTAGCCTTTGTTCTAAGGTGCTAGTTTCTCCAGTTCTTTAGTGTTTAACTTACACTTTTATCAGAGTAACTGAAGGGTGTTGGTGAAGGCTGACCTCTCTGGTTCCTCATGGCGACCCGGCCTACCACAGTTGTAGTAATTATAGTAGTAGTCATAGCTTCCTAAACATTCTTTCTAATCCCTGGATCATGGCTTCAATAAGATTACATTAAAGCTCATGTTTTAGGGCCAAGCTTTCTGATTCCTTACCTTTGTGATTATGATGAAGGTAGTAGTGATTCTGATATATTTTCTTAGGAGTAGTAGGTATTGTTTCTGGAGGTACAGCCTTAATCTTTACTCTCTAATTCTTGCAGTAACCTCATAAATACTAAATTTATTATGTTCAATTTCTTTTTTTTAAGTGACTTCTATTACCTAAACTGAGCCCTGATTGATACTACAGTGCTTGATACTAGAAGTAATTATAGGCAATAAAACTTCAAAATTGGTAATCTAGTATTGGTTATCTGGCCTTGGCATGTATAAAGCTATGACAATCCTGTTACTATTGGAAAATGTATCACTGTTAGTTCATAGGACACAGTGGCAAATAGTTACGGTTTTACTGATAACTGTAATGAATAGCAATTGTGATAGACTGTTATTTTTGGAATGAATAATCTAGGTTTGAGGGTTAGATGTTTGTTTCTGACCATAGTAGAGAGTTTAATGAAAGAAAATGCTGACTTCAGGCTTATAAATTTTTGGCTTAGGATTTCTACCTTGAACCTGCACTGGCTTATGGCAGAGATAATGAAACAGAAATCTCAGTGACCATACACAACAAGGAATACAAACTTCGCAAAAATAGTTTGGAAAAATCACTGAACAAATGTATAATGGCATCTCTCAGCAAACAAAAATATGTAATCCCTTAGGAATAAGAAAATATGATTTCCAGAATTGCCAAATTATGATATTCAAAATATACAGTTCCAAACAACAGCAACAATAATAAAATTACAAAGCATACCAAAAAAAAAAAAAAGAAAAATGAAACACATAGCCCACTCACAGGAAAAAAAATTGACAAAAACCATCTCTGAGGAAGCCCAAACATTTGAATTTATAGTAAAATACGTTAAATAAAATGTCTGAAATATGCTCAAAGAGCAAAAGGAAAGCATAGAAAATGAATTTAAGGTATTTGGAAGAACGATGTCTGAACAAACAGCAAACGTCAGAAAAGAGATAGAAAGAGCTTTCAGATAGTGGAACCTATGAAGGTTCCTGGAGGGTGGTGTATTAGTCCATTCTCACACTGATATAAAGACGTACCTGAGGCTGGGTAATTTATTTAGAAAACAGGTTTAATTGGCTCATGTTTCTGTGGTCTGTACAGGCTTCTGTTCCTGGGGAGGCCTCAGAAAGCTTATAATCGTGGTGGAAGGTGAAGGGGAAGCAGGCATTGTTTTCACATGGTCAGAGCAGGAGACAGAGAGAGAGAAGGGGGAGGTGCTACACACTTTTGAATAACCAGATCTCATGAGAACTCTATCATGAGACAGCACTAGGTGGATGGTGCTAAACCCATAGAAATCAACCCCATAATCCAATTACCTGCCACCAGGCCCCAACTCCAACACTGGGGATTGCAATTCAACATGAGATTTGAGTGGGGACACAGAACCAAATTATCAGATGGCACACCTGGTGAGGGCATGAAAGCTTTGTACTCCTTTCCATATGCTTTGCCATATGCATCTTTTTATAAGATGCTAGCCACAGAGGTGAGCTGGCTTGGGTAGAATAAGGTTCCAACTGAGCCACATAGTTTCAGGTCATGACGACCACACTTGGCCACATTTGTCCTGTTGGTTGAACCCAGTGGGCCTCTCTGCCATGGCCAATCTTTTGGGATATCCTTTATAATAAGATGGAAAATATAAGTAAATGTTTCCCTGGGTTCTGTAAGCTGATCTAGCAAATTGATCAAACCAAAGGAGGGGGTTACGGGATCTCTGATTTATAACCAGTTGGTAAGATGTACAGGTAAAACAACCTGGAGCTTGCAATTGGCATGTGAAGGGGGAATACAGTCGTGGGGATTGAGACCTCAGCTTGTGGGATCTGAGACTATATTCAAGTAGACATTGTCAGAATAGAACGGAATTAGAGGAAACCTAGCTGATGTGAACTGTAGAAGTGATTGCTAGCTTGTTGGTGGAGAGAAATCCCCACACATTTTGTCACAGAAGTCTTCTGTGTTGATTGTTGTTGATGAGAGAATAGAAACTGCACTTTGAGTTTGTGTGTGAGTTTTTTCTACTCTCAACTGAGTCAATGGGGTTTACTAGAATAGTCCTGGCTCACAGAAACAGATGGTTTGGGATGAGAAAGAATAAAAGGGTGGTGATAAGGAATCTTTGATTCCTTAGGGGACATGTGGTCACCATGGTTTGGAGCCATGGATGTGTTGCAATTAGTTACTAAAGGTAAAATTTACCAGTGGAATTCAGAGATGAACCTAGCTCCCATGGACTTGGTTCTGTAAACCAAAAATAAAATAATAAGGTCCCCCCAACCATATGCATGAATCACTCTCTTTGGCCAAGGGAATTCCAAAGTTAACCTGAGAAACTTGTTCAGGCCATGATGGTAAGGTGAAGCCAGACATGACTCATTACACCCTCCTCCCTTTTGGAACTACTGATAGAACAGACTCTTTAAGTCTAATAAGAGATATTTACAATCTATTCTGTCTGAAGCCTGCTACCTAGAGGCTTCATCTGCATGACAAAACCTTTGTCTCTAAAACCCCTTATCATAACCCAGACATTCCTTTCTATCAATAATTGCTCTTCCAACCAATTGCCAGTCAGAAAATCTTTGAGTCCGCCTATGACTTGAAAGCCCTCCACTTCCAATTGTCCCCCCTTTCTGGACCAAACCAATGTACATCCTAAATGTATTGATTGATAACTTATTTCTCCATAAAATGTGTAAGACCAATTTATGGCCAGACCACCCTTGGACACATGTTCTCAGGACCTCCTGAGGGCTGTGTCACAGGCCTTTGGTTACTCATGTTTGGCTCAGAATAAATCTCCTCAGAGATTTTACAGATATTAAATTTTTTCACAACAGTTCACTAGATGCATTAAAAGATACAACCTATTAGTTAAAAAAAAAGCAAAACATTCAAGCCCTTGGTTGTTATCTGTGAAAGCTGAAATGAAACTAAAAGAGAGTACTGAGTAAGACCTTTATTCTATCACAAGCACAGATTTCAGTGAGTCTGAGCTTTAGCCACTAGCCTCTAAGCTGATGCCCAAGGTAAAAATTATGCAGGGACAACAGACAGTACTTCTAAGACCTGTGGTTACTAAGAAGGTAGTCAATGTGGGGGAAGGGAAAAACCAAGTAATGATTGGAACCAGTGGGTATAGTGTGAAAAAAAATTGTTTCATTTTGTAAATCTGTATCATCAAATTTCTGAGAAGCCTTTACTAAAATGGATTGTGAGAGTGTAACTGGCCAGTGGGTTTTTCTTGTCTGTTGCCCAGAGTGAGCAAATTTATCAAGACAGGGAAATGCCAATAGAGAAAGAGTTTAACTCATGCAGAGCTGGCTGAACAGGAGAATGGAGTGTTATTATTACTCAAATCAGTCTCCCTGAAAGTTCAGAGACTGAGTTTATTTTAAGAATAACTTGGGGGGTAGCGGAGAGTAAGTGGGGAGTGCTGATTTGTTGGGTCAGAGATAAAGTCATAGGGAATCAAGGCTGTCTTCTTGTGCTGAGTCAGATTATGGATTGTGGCCACAAGACCAGATGAGCCAGCTTATTGATCTGGGTTGTGCCAGCTGATCTATTGAGGACAGGGTCTGCAAAATATCTCAAGCACTGATCTTGGGTTTTACAATAGTGATGTTATCTCCAGGAGCAATTTTGGGAGGTTCCTCATCTTGCAGCCAGAACCTGCATGACTTCTCAACCATAATTTCTAATTGTGTAGCTAATTTGCTAGCCCTGCAAAGCAGTCTAGTCCCCAGCCAGGAAGGGAGTTTGTTTTGGAAAATAAGCTGTTATCATCTTTGTTTGAAAGTTAAACTATAGACTCAGTTTTCCCAAAGTTAGTTCAGCCTATGCCCAGCCCAGGAATGGACAAGGACAGCTTAGAGACAAGAAGCAAGATGGAGTCAGTTAGGTCGATCTCTTTCACTGTCATAATTTTCTCAGTTATAATTTTTTCAAAGGCAGTTTCACTGGGGACCTAAAGCTTTCTTACACAAGAGGGGATAAACTGATCTGGGGGTGGAGAAGAGAAGTTCCTAGGACTAGAATATAAAAATGTAAAGGTTGATATAATTATAAAGGTTGGAATGCTTTAACAGGTTTTATGTAAAGAAGTTGTGTCTCCTTTAGCTAAACATTTTATGAAACTGGATATTATATCTGAGTGGGGAACACTTTTCCTACCTAGTATCATAAAACAAAAACCAGTTGATAAAGTCCTAATGGAGGTTACAGTTGGGAAAGTAAGAGTTGATAAAATGAAAAGTTTATAGGCGAGTTTGTACATGTGAACATGATTTATATGAAGTGGTAGTGTCTCCTTTACTTGATTGTATAATGAGCATGGACATTGTATCTGAATGGGAAATCTCCTACCCAGTTGTGTAAAATAGAAGAAATATAAATATGCCAATTTAGCAATATTAATTGGACATCATGTTAAACAGAAATCAGCAAGATTTTCTGAGCCCACAGAATGTAGAATAGAAGCTGGAGTTCTGGTAGGAATAAACTCTCCCTTTAATAGCCCTCTGTTCAGTGAGAGAAAAGAAAAATAGCTCAGAGCAATCTGAACTGTGTGAGGTATGCAGAACCAAGAGAAAATGAGTACAGGATTTTAGTCATCTCCCTCTGCTCACACTTATGCCTGGAGAAAATTTTTAAAAGTCATTTTGTTTCTGAATAGCTGTCTCACCCATTATTTTTATGTTCCTGGAATTCGTGATAAAAAGAACAATGTATAGCTGATCAATAGCTTATGTAATTTTAATGTAAATTCCGGGGAAACAACTCAGAAACTGACTCTTCTTTTCTTTACAAATCCACCTGTAACTGCTGCCAATTGAAGTTGTCCTGCCATATTCAGGACAATATGAATCTATGCTCTCAGGTTGCAAATTCTCAATTTTGGACCCAATAAAATCTCTACTTTTGTTAATTTTGCCCCAGCTTCTTCCATTTAGGTCAACAAGTGTTAGCAGAGGTAGAGCTTATGGCAAAAGTGGGTGAGTGCCTCTCTGTGATGATTACCTGGAAGTTTGGATTAAAATCTTTTTACTTGCAGGACATTTGGTGCTTTACTATGGGACATTAAGTGAAGCTACCCTTTATGATTGAAATGAAGCTACCCTTCATTTTATAAACCTCGAATACCAAACTATCTTGGGTGATGTCAGAGAAATACTCTAACATAGTAGCAGTGGCCAGAAGAGTTTCATAATAAAACTGAAATTGTTTATACAGAATCTTGTTACCTGGGGAATCCAAAAAGAAGATACTCTTGAGAAGGAAACCTCTTTTTCCCTAGAAATGACTAAGAAACTGTGTCCAAAGCTGCTGGATTCTATCAAAAGTTTGAAAGTGCCCTATAAACAACCCTCTTCTGACTAACAAAGAGCTGCTTGGGATGTAAATGACAATTCTGAGGTGAACAGATGACATCCTATTTGGAAGGATGCCAGTCTGATTAAAGAAGGTAATGCCCACTTGCTCACTGCTAGCGCAGCAGTCTGAGATCGACCTGCTAGGCAGCAGCCTGGCAGGGAAGGGGCGTCCGCCATGGCTGAGGCTTGAGTAGATAAACAAATGAGGCTTGAGTAGGTAAACAAAGCCTCCGGAGAAGCTCGAACTGGACGGACCCCACCTCTGGGGGCAGGGCATAGCTAAACACAAGGCAGCAGAAACATCTGCAGACTTAAACGTCCCCGTCTGATAGCTCTGAAAAGAGTTGGGGTTCTCCCAGCATGGTATTTGAGTACTGAGAATGGACAGACTGCCTCCTCAAGTGGGTCCCTCACGCCCAAGTAGCCTAACTGGGAGACACCTCCCAGTAGGGACCGACTGACAACTCATACAAGCGGGTGCCCCTCTGGGACAAAGCTTCTAGAGGAGGGATCATCCAGCAATATTTGCTGTTCTGCAGCCTCCACTGGTGATACCCAGGCAAACAGTGTCTGGAGTGGACCTCCAGCAAACTCCAACAGACCTGCAGCTGAGCGACCTGACTGTTACAAGGAAAACTAACAAACAGAAGGGAATAGCATAAACATCAACAAAAAGGACATCCACACCAAAACCCCATCTATAGGTCACCAGCATCATCATCAAAGACCAAAGGTAGATAAATCCACAAAGACTGGGAGAAACCAGAGCAGAAAAGCTGAAAATTCTAAAAACCACAGGGCCTCTTCTCCTCCAAAGGATCGCAGCTCCTCACCAGCAACGGAACAAACCTGGATGGAGAATGACTTCGACAAGCTGACAAAAGTAGGCTTCAGAAGGTCAGTAATAACAAACTTCTCCGAGCTAAAGGAGGATGTTTGAAACCATTGCAAGGAAGCTAAAAACCTTGAAAAAAGATTGGACGAATGGTTACCTAGAATAAACAGTATAGAGAAGACCTTAAATGACCTGATGGAGCTGAAAACCATAGCATAAGAACTATGTGACAAAGGCACAAGCTTCAGTAGCCGATTCGATCAAGTGGAAGAAAGGGTATCAGTGATTGAAGATCAAATGAATGAAATAAAGCGAGAAGAGAAGTATAGAGAAAAAAAAGTAAAAAGAAATGAACAAAGCTTCCAAGAAATATGGGACTATGTGAAAAGACCAAATCTACGTTTGATTGGTGTACCTGAAGTAACGGGGAGAATGGAACCAAGTTAGAAAACACTCCTCAGAATATTATCCAGGAGAACTTCCCCAGTCTAGCAATGCAGGCCAACATTCAAATTCAGGAAATACAGAGAACACCACAAAGATACTCCTCGTCAAGAGCAACCCCAAGACACATAATTGTTAGATTCACCAAGGTTGAAATGAAGGAAAAAATGTTAAGGGCAGCCAGAGAGAAAGGTGGGGTCACCCACAAAGGGAAGCCCATCAGACCAACAGAGGATCTCTTGGCACAAACTCTACAAGCCAGAAGGTAGTGGGGGGCCAATATTCAACATTCTTAAATAAAAGAATTTTCAACCCAGAATTTCATATCCAACCAAACTAAGCTTCATAAATGAAGGAGAAATAAAATCCTTTACAGAGAAGCAAAGGCTGAGAGATTTTGTCACCACCGGGCCTGCCTTAGAAGAGCTCCTGAAAGAAGCAATAAACATGGAAAGTAACAACCAGTACCAGCCACTGCAAAAACATACCAAATTGTAAAGACCATTGATGCTAGGAAGAAACTGCATCAATTAATGGGCAAAATAACCAGCTAACATCATAATGACAGGATCAAATTCCCACATAACCATATTAATCTTAAATGTAAATGGGCTAAATGCCCCAATTAAAAGACACAGACTGGCAAATTGGGTAAAGAGTCAAGACCCATCACTGTGCTGTATTCAGGAGACCCATCTCACATGCAGAGAAACACATAGGCTCAAAATAAAGGGATGGAGAAAGAGTTACCAAGCAAATGGAAAACAAAAAAAAAAAAAAAAAAAAAAAAAGAAAAGAAAAAGCAGGGGATGCAATCCGTCTCTGATAATATAGACTTTAAACCAACAAAGATCAAAAGAGACAAACAAGGCTATTACATAATGGTAAAGGGATCAATTCAACAAGAAGAGCCAACTATCCTAAATATAGATGCACCCAGTACAGGAGCACCCAGATTCATAAAGCAAGTCCTTAGAGACCTACAAAGAGACTTAGACTCCCACACAATAATAATGGGAGACTTTAACACCCCACTGGCAATATTAGACAGATCAACCAGACAGAAGGTTAACAAGGATATCCAGGACTTGAACTCAGCTCTGCACCAAGCGGACATAATAGACATCTACAGAACTCTCCACCCCAATCAACAGAATATACATTCTTCTCAGCACCACATTGCACTTATTCCAAAATTGACCACATAGTTGGAAGTAAAGCACTCCTCAGCAAATTAAAAGACCAGAAATCACAACAAACTGTCTCTCAGACCACAGTGCAATCAAATTAGAACTCAGGATTAAGAAACTCACTCAAAACCGCACAACTACATGGAAACTGATTAACTTGCTCCTGAAAGACTACAGGGTAAATAATGGGACACATTTAAAGCAGTGTGTAGAGGGAAATTTATAGCACTAAATGCCCACAAGAGAAAGCAGGAAAGGCCTAAAATCGACACCCTAATACTACAATTAAAAGAACTAGAGAAGCAAGAGCAAACAAATTCAAAAGCTAGCAGAAGGCAAGAAATAACTAAGATCAGAGCAAAACTGAAGGAGATAGAGATACAAAAAACCCTTCAAAAAAATCAATGTATCCAGAAGCTGTTTTTTTAAAAGATCAACAAAATTGATAGACTTCTAGCAAGATTAATAAAGAAGAAAATAGAGAAGAATCAAATAGACACAATAAAAAATGATAAAGGAGTTATCACCACTGATCTCACAGAAATACAAACTAACATCAGGGAATACTATAAACACCTCTACACAAATAAACTAGAAAATCTAGAAGAAATGGATAAATTCATTGCCACATACACCCTCCCAAGACTAAACCAGGAAGAAGTTGAATCTCTGAATCTACCAATAACAGGCTCTGAAATTGAGGCAATAATTAATAGCCTACCAATCAAAAAAAGTCCAGGACCAGACGGATTCACAGCTGAATTCTACCAGAGGTACAAAGAGGAGCTGATACCATTCCTTCTGAAACTATTCCAATAATAGAGAAAGAGAGAATCCTCCCTAACTCATTTTATGAGGCCAGCATCATCCTGATACCAAAGCCTGGCAGAGACACAACAAAAAAAAGGAGAATTTTAGACCAATATCCCTGATGAACATTGATGCGAAAATTTTCAATAAAATACTGGCAAACCAAATCCAGCAGCACATCAAAAAGCTTATCCACCATGATCAAGTGGGCTTCATCCCTGGGATGCAAGGCTGATTCAACATACACAAATCAATAGATGTAATCCATCACATAAACAGAACCAACGACAAAAACCACGATTATCTCAACAGCTGCAGAAAAGGCCTTTGACAAAATTCAACATCCCTTCATGCTAAAAAGTCTCAATAAACAAGGTATTGATGGGACATATCTCAAAATAATAAGAGCTATTTATGACAAACCAACAGCCAATATCATACTGAATGGGCAAAAACTGGAAGCATTCCCTTTGAAAACTGGCACAAGACAGGGATGCCCTCTCTCACCACTCCTATTCAACATAGTGTTGGAAGCTCTGGCCACGGCAATCAGGCAGGAGAAAGAAATAAAGGGCAATTAGTTAAAGAGGAAGTCAAATTGTCCCTGTTTGCAGATGACATGACTGTATATTTAGAAAACCCCACTGTCTCATCCCAAAATCTCCTTAGGCTGATAAGCAACCTCTGCAGAGTCTCAGGATACAAAATCAATGTGCAAAAATCACAAGCATTCCTATACACCAATAACAGACAAACAAAGGGCCAAATCATGAGTGAACTCCCATTCACAATTGCTACAAAGAGAATAAAATACCTAGGAATCCATCCTACAAGGGATGTGAAGGACCTCTTCAAGGAGACCTGCAGACCACTGCTTAATGAAATAAAAGAGGATACAAACAAATGGAAGAACATTCCATGCTCATGGATAGGAAGAATCAATATAGTGAAAATGGCCATACTGCCCAAGGTAATTTATAGATTCAATGCCATCCCCATCAAGCTATCAATGACTGTCTTCACACAACTGGGTAAAACTACTTTAAAGTTTGTATGGAACCAAAAAAGAGCCTGCATCGCCAAGACAATCCTAAGCAAAAAGAACAAAGCTGGAGGCATCACATTACCTGACTTCAAACTATAGTACAAGGCTACAGTAACCAAAACAGCATGGTATTGGTACCAAAACAGAGATAGACCAATGGAACAGAACAGAGGCCTCAGAAATAACACCACACATCTACAACCATCTGATCTTTGACAAACCCGACAAAAACAAGAAATGGGGAAAAGACTCCCTATTTAATAAATGGTGCTGGGAAAACTGGCTAGCCATATGCAGAAAGCTGAAACTGTATCCCTTCCTTACACCTTATACAAAACTTAATTCAAGATGTATTAAAGACTAAAATTTTAGACCTAAAACCATAAAAGCCTTAGAAGAAAACCTAGCAAATACCATTCAGGACATAGACATGGGCAAGGGCTTCATGAATAAAACACCAAAAACAATGGCAACAAAAGCCAAAATAGATAAATGGGGTCTAATTAAACTAAAGAGCTTCTGCACTGCAAAAGAAACTACCATCAGAGTGAACAGGCAACCTACAGAATGGGAGAAAATTTTGGCAATCTACCCATCTAACAAAGGGCTAATCTCCAGAATCTACAAAGAACTTAAACAAATTTATAAGAAAAAAACAACCCCATCAAAAAGTGGGCAAAGGATATGAACAGACATTTCTCAAAAGAAGACATTTATGCAGCCAACAGACACATGAAAAAATGCTCATCATCACTGGTCATCAGAGAAATGCAAATCAAAACCACAATGAGATACCATCTCACACCAGTTAGAATGGTGATCATTAAAAAGTCAGGAAACGACAGATACTCAAAAGGATGTGGAGAAATAGGAATGCTTTTACGCTGTTGGTTGGAGTGCAAACTAGTTCAACCACTGTGGAAGACAGTGTGGAGATTCCTCAAGGATCTAGAACTAGAATACCATTTAACCCAGCCATCCCATTACTGGGTATATGCCCAAAGGATTATAAATCATGCTACTATAAAGACACATGCACATGTATTCTTATTGCAGCACTATTCACAATAGCAAAAACTTGAAACCAACCCAAATGTCTACCAATGATAGACTGGATTAAGAAAATGTGGCACATATACACCATGGAATACTATGCAGCCATAAAAAAGGACGAGTTCATGTCCTTTGCAGGGACATGGATGATGCTAGAAGCCATCATTCTGAGCAAACTATCACAAGGACAGAAAACCAAACACCACATGTTCTCACTCATAGGTGGGAATTGATCAATGAGAACACTTGGACACAGGGCGGGGGACATCACACATGGGGGCCTGTCATGGGATGGGGGGCAGGGGGAGGGATAGTATTAGAAGAAATAGCTAATGTAAATGACTAGTTAATTGGTGCAACAAACCAACACGGCACATGTATACCTATGTAACACATCTGTACTTTGTGCACATGTACCCTAGAACTTAAAATAAAATAATAAAAAAAAATTCTTATGCCCTAAATCAAGTCAAATATGATAGACTGATATAGAGATTATTTTTACAGGAAATGCACCAATAAAACGAACAAGTTTAACAACAACAATAAAAAAAGGTAACAGCAACAACAAAATAACCCTGGTGGGATGAACTGCATTCTGTAAAATAAATAAATTAATAAATAATAAAAGCCCCTGTGCTTGGGTTTTTATTGATTCATGGGCAGTGGCCAATGGCTGGGCCACATGATCAGGCAGAAGGGCAATGAAAATCTGGCTTATTAATGGGATGCCCATATGACCTTATGGAAATTTGAGGAGTTCATTAAAGTAGAACATGTCTATGCTTATCAGAATAGCCCCTTTTCAGGTTCAGAACGTAATTAGAATTGACAAGCTGATATCCATCCACCATGCGATCCCTTGAAGTGGCTGCCTGGGTCCATGAAATGAGTGGATATAGGCATATTTCAGCAATTAAGAGATGAACTTAATCTAGACATGTTTCTCTTACACCCTATTAGACACATAACAACAATAAAAATTCTTATGTATGCCAGCAAGGAGACAGAGCCTGCCAATGGTTATGTGGCAGATTCCCTGGTGGGAAGGCCATAAAACTAGCTGGCAAGTGGGACTGAAGCTGGTAGACCTGAGGGAGCTACAAATGGGTCTTGACAGGAAGAAACAGGTTCTGGACTAGGCTTTGATTATCCTGTGGAAGATGCAAATGTTCAGAGTGTTGTAAGAAAACCAGAACAGAAGATATTGCATAGATGTGAATGGGCAAGCATCATTACTTCAGGCTGAGAGACCCACCATACAGGCAATAACGTTCAACAGTGGGCAAAGATATCTCCTTTCAGAGTAATAGTTTGATAGAAAAGTGAAACAGGCAATGAAAACATTGGCTGCCTAAAACAAGGGGAGATAAAAGAATAACGGAATGGCTTATGAATGTGAGCACAGGGCTTCATAAATGTGTGACCACACTCAACGTAAGTGGGGTTAAGGGAAGGTTCCCATTGGTTAGATTCCTTCACATTTCTGTGGTTTTTGTGAAGAGGGGATGGGAAAGAATGCCAGTGTGACTATGTGACCCTTGCCAAGAGAGGAGTATATTAATACAAGGACTATACTTTTTCCCTACATAACCTCAAAAAAATATTTCTCCTGTTTGATGCAGTGGTTCTAGGACCAGGGCAGTAAAAACAAGTGCTGAAAGCAGAGACGATTTTTAAGAAAGAAACTATAACTATGTATTAAAGCTTTATGTCAGAATTTCAAAAGGCCAGATGTGGGTGGATGTTGCCTTCACCACATCTGGCAAAATTGGAGTTAACAGTGAATGTAGCTACATTTTCTGGAGGTAACAATAGCTATCTAAATGTGAATGGACTGAGGAGGAGGTACCTGCTAGACTAGTGCTTGCAACGTAGATCAACACGACTGCTTATTCTAATGTCTCATCCAAAGGTGGAAGTCTGAGTATTAATGGAGAGATGGAATAATAGCTGAGGGTAAAGGGATGAATAAATGGGTTTTGAATTGAGGGAAATCCTATATTACTTTAAAACCTCAAAAGAGGCTTAAAGAAAGATTATATTGTCTCTTAGCTCAAGTATGCCAGATGCCTGAAAGGGTGAAGCTATGTTTGCTAAGACCACTGCTGCTTTTGTATCCTGCCAAGATTGAATGAATATCTGTAAACATTAATGGCCTTACCCTGGAAGAGATTCATGCAATATAATGGACTGAACTAATGATTATATGGGATTCTAGAATTTGGTAGTGTCCTCTGAGTTGTATGTCCTTTTGATGTAAGGGATTTGAATTTGAAGACCAGGGGCAGTCTGTGATATTGTAAAATACATATTTAGTCTTCAATCTTGTTTCCAGCAATACAACTTCTAAAATCTTTAGAAACTCCAAAGTGATGTCTTTGTATATGCTAATAAGTTGACTGATGACTGGCATCCCCAAGGTAGCTTCAGGATAGGAGCTGGTTACGGGAAACACTAAGGCAGGATTAGAGGGTTGAGAGATTTCCCCAAATTCCAGGGGCTAAAGACTACCATGATCACCAATAGCCAATGGTTTAATCAATCATGCCTATATAATAAAGCCTTCATAAAAACTCAAAAGGACAGGGTCTGGGGAGCTTCTGAATAGTTGAACATATGTAATTTCCTGAATGATGGTATGCCAGGAGAGCCATAAAAACTCCACACCCCTCCCACATGCCTAGCCTTATGAATATATTTATGTGCATCTTTTGCAATATTCTTTATAATAAAGTGGTAAACATAAAAAAGAGAAATTAGAAAAACAAACAAAACAGGAACTCAGAAGATGAAAAGTACAATAATTGAATTAAAAATTCACTAAAAGGATTCAACAACTTTGAGCAGGCAGAAAAATGAATCAGCAAAATTGAAGATAATTTAAATGAACTAGTGTGAGGAATATAGAGAAAAAATAATGAAAGAAACGAACAGAAACTGAAGTAAATGTCAAACATCAAAAAGTGTATTAACATATACATTATGGGAATGCCAGAAGGAGAAGAGAAATGGGAAAATAAAATATTTAAATAAATAACTAATGGATGAAAAGTTAAATATGATAAAATATATGAATCTACACACCAAAGAAGCTAAATGAACTTCAAATAGGAAAAACTAAGAGACTCACATTGAAACACATTACAATCGAACTGTTGGAATCTAAGACAAAGAGACCTCTTGAAAGTGGCAAGATAGAAATGATTCATTTCACATAAAGAAATCTCCAATTAGATTAACAAATGATTTTTTATTAGAATCCATAAAGGCAAGCAAGAGGTGAGATGACATATTTAAAGTTCTAAAGACATAAAACTGGCAACAAAAATTCTATACTTCACAAAACTATTCTTCAAAAATAAAGGATAATTAAAATATAACTAGATAAGCAAAAGCTGACACAGATTATTAATTGTAGAACTTCCCTGCAAGAAATACTAAAGGGAATACTTTAGGCTAAAATAAAAGAACACTAGACAAAAACTTCAAGGTATATGAAGAAATAAAGAACACTGGTAAAAGTAACTATATAGGTAAATATGAAAGGTGGTATTATCATACTTTGGGTTTGTGACTCCTTTATTTCTTCTACAATTTAAAGTCTAAATTAATAAAATTTTAATTATAAATCTATGTTAAAGGAAACATAATATGTAAGAATACGATCTGTGACTATTAAAATACAAAAGAAGAATGAAGGAGATATATAGTAGCAGTTTTTATACTACTGAAATTAAGTTGGTATTATTCAAACTAAGTTGTCTTAAGTTTAATATGCTAATTGTATTCTCCATGGTAACCAATAAGAAACAAGTAAAATGTATAAAGAAAAGAAAGAAGAAAATCAAAATGGTGAACCATTAAAATTTTAAAAAGTAAAAATAAAGCAGTAATGGAGGAGTAGAATGAATATAAGACATACAGAAAACAAATATCTAGATGGCAAAGGTAAGCCCCTTCAAATCAAAAATTACTTTAAATATTAACAGATTAAACTCTCTAATTGAAAGGCAGATATTGGCATAAATGATGGAGAAACGTGATTTATTTATATGCTGGCTATAAGTGACACACTTTAGTTACAAATGCACAAAGAGGTTGAAATTAAAAGAATGGAAAAAGATTTTTCATGAAAATAGAAATCAAAGTGAGCTGGGGTGGCTATATTATTGCAAAGAAAACAGACTTAAAGTAAAAAAGAAGTTACAAACACAAAGAGGATATACACTGGTAAAAGGCAAAATGTGGCAAGAAGATATAGCAATTATAAACATATATGAACCCAACAACAGACTTCAGTGCTCCGTGTTCAATAACGGATAGAACAACCAGACAGAACTTTAATAAGGAAGTAGAGGACTTGAATAATACTATAAAACTATTAGACCTTAAAGATATATACTGAATATTCCACCCCAAACGACCATACATTCTTTTCAAATGCATGCAGAAAATCTGTAGAACAGATCATATTTTAGGCCGCAAACAATTTTTAATAAATTTTAAAATATTGCCATCATATAAAATATTTTATGATTATAACGGAATACAATTAGAAATCAATACCTAAAGAAAATCTAAAAACTTCATAATTATGCAGAAATTAAACCAAAACCTCTCAAACAACTAAAACATTAAAGAATAAATCATAAGGGTAATTGGAAAATGTTAAGAAATATGCAAAACAATCTATCAAAACTTATGAGATGCAGCCAAAGCACTGCTGAGAAATCTATAGCTGCAAATGCTTAAATAAAAAAAAAAATTAAAATCTCCATTCAACAACGTAACTGTATGCCTAAAAACTATAAAAAGAACAGCAAACTAAACCAAATATTAGCAGAGGAAAGAAATAATAAATATTAGCAGGGAGGTAAATGTAACAGATAATAGAAAAGCAACAGAGAAAATTAATGAAACTGAAAGTTTTTGAAAAGATATTGACTAAGAAAAAGAAGACAAATTAATACAATAAAAAGTAAAAGGATAACATTATTATCAACTTCATAAAAATAAAAGGATTAAAAAACATTATGAGCATTTACATATCAGAAAATTGACTAACCTAGATGATATAAACTCACTTTTAGAAAGATAAACTACCAAAACTGACACAAGAATAAATAGGAAATATGAAGAGAACAGTAAAAAGTAAACATATTAAATTGTTAATCAAGAACCTCCAAACATATAAAATTCCAAGATAGATCAGATGGGTTCATTGGTAAATTCTACCAGACGTTTAAGAAACAATTGGCACTAATTCCTTTGAAACTTTTCAAAAAAGTGGAAGAGCAGGAAATAGTTTTAAACTCATTCTGTGAGACTAACATTACCGCACCCCAAAGCCATATAAAGACAATACAACAAAACTACAGGCTAGTTTCTTTTTGACTATAAATTTAAAAATCCTAAGCATAATATTAGAAAACCTAATTCAACAGCATATTAGAAGGATTATACATAATATCTAAGTGGTATTTATCTCAAAAATCCAAGAGTGATTAAATATATGAAATTCAATCACTGTAATACACTATACTAACAGACCAAAGAAATAAAGCCACATTATCTGAATTGATACAGAATATGCATTGAATAAAATACAATATCCTTTCAGGATAAAGACATTCAAAAACTAAGAATGGAAGAAAATGTTCCCAAGATTAAATAAATACCATAAACGAAATACCCACAGCTAATATCGTACTCATTTGTGAAACACTGAAAGCTCTTCTGAGGATTCCTGCTTTAGCCATTTCTATTCATCATAGTCCTGGAAGCCCTAACAAGGAGATTATGCAGGAAAAAAACCTACAAGCACCCAAATTGGAAACTACATGGAAAATTATCTGTTTTCGCAGGTGACCTAACATTATATGTAGAAAACCCTAAATATTACACAAAAAATAATCTGTCAGAGATAATAGACAAATGTATCAAAGTTTCAGAATACATAGTTACCATTCAAAAATCAGTTGTATTTGTATACAGTAACAATTAAAAAATTATTCTATTTTCAATAGCATCAAAAAGAATAAAATACTTATGAATAAACTTAGCCAAGAAGGTAAAGGACATACATCAAAAAACCATAAAACATTACTGAAAGAAATTAGGGACTGTGATGGTTAATATTGAATGTCAACTTGATTGGATTGAAGGATGCAAAGTATCGGTCCTGGCTGTGTCTGTGAGGGTATTGCCAAATGAGATTAACATTTGAGTCAGTGGACTGAAAAAGGCAGACCCACCCTCAACATGGGTGGGCACAATCTAATCAGTTGCCAGTGCAACCAGAATAAAAGCAGGCAGAGGAATGTGAAAAGACAAGTCTGGTTTAGTCTTGTGTCCTACATCTTTCTTCAGTGGTGGATGCTCCCTGCCCTTGAACATCAGACTCTAAGTTCTTCAGCTTTGGGACTCAAACTAGCTTACTTGCTCTGCGGCTTGCAGATGGCCTACTGTGGGACCTCACCTTGTTATTGTGTGAGTCAATACTCCTTAATAAACTCCTCTTTATATATACATCTATCCTATTAGTTCTATCCCTCCAGAGAACCCTGACTAATACAAATTTTGGTACCAGAAGTGGTTCTAGAGCAATAGAATATCAAGATGGAGTTATTTTGTTGGTTTTGGGGTTTCTGGAGTTGGCTACTTAATATGGATTAGGCCTCAAAATGCTAAGGACTCTACTTCTAACTGTATGAAGAACACTGATAGTCCTTACCGTGAACTGTTTGGAGAGTTATGCATAATGAACACATTTGATACTTCTGATTTCACTGCTCATGAGAGGCAAGGAGGTTAGTTACTCTACATAATACCTTTGATCATATGTGGAGAACCAAGGATATAATAAAGTTGGTTGGTTGCTTCTGAGTTCACTGGAAAGGGATGAAAGAAAATGATGAACTCAAGGATTCCAACTCCTGGCTTCAGAAGCAGACACGGAGCCTTAAACCTTCTAAGACTGCTCTGAGTGAGAGTATTATCTCTTGTAGGAAAAGAACTGAAATTGTGGAAAATCAGACACAAGTTCTTATCATGTAAGCAGCTGACCTGCAACAAAAGGTGCATGCACAGCCTTTCCAGGTGTCTACTGTTAAAGTGAGGGCATTGATTCAAAAAGAATGGGACCCTGAAACTTAGAATGGGAATGTGTGAGAGGACCCTGATGAGGCTGGGGACATTGAGCTTGTAAACTCTGATGAGACTTTTTTGCCAGAAAACAAAAAACAGCTTCCCTATCCCCAGTAGTGGCAACATCCCCCCTGCCCCAACCCATGCTGCCATCAGCCTTTCCACCTTTGTCTGAGGAGATAAACCCTGCACTGCCTGAGGCAACAATGATGGCCTCCCCTGAGGCAGTTGTCAGCAAGACAATGCTGATTCTCCTCAGGAGCCACCCCCAACACCCCTGTTTGCATCTAGTCCTGTAACTAGACTAAAGTCCTGGCTGGGCCCCAGAGGTGAGGTTCAGAGTGTGACACACGAGGAGGTACACTACACTCCAAAAGAACTGATTGAGTTTTCTAATTTTTATAAGCAGAAATCTGGAGAACAGGCATGGGAATGGATATTAAAGGCGTGCAATAATGGTGGAAGGAACATAGAATTGGATCAGGCTGAATTTATTGATTTGGGCCCACTAAGCAGGGGCTTTGCATTCAATGTTGCAGTTTGGGGAATTAAAAAAGGTTCCAATAGTTTATTTGCTTGGTTAGCTAAAATGTGGATTAAAAGATGGCATATTGTGAATGAGCTGGAAATGCCTGATCTTCCTTGGTTTAATGTGGAGGAAGGGATCCAAAGGCTTGGTGAGATTTGGATGCAGGAGTGGATTAGTAAATTTAGACCTACTCATCCTAGCTGGGAGGGTTCAGAAGATATACCCTTGACCAATATTTTGTTAAATAGATTTGTGAGGACAGTACCTGCATCCTTGAAGAGCTCTGTTATTGCTCTTCTCTGTATGCCAGATCTTGCAGTAGGAACCACAGTCACTCAACTACAAAATGGGAATAATTGGATCCCGAGGTGGCAGAGGCCAAGTGGCAGCACTCAAACGTCAAAGGCAAGGTGGGCATAGGTACGATAATGGAAAGCAAAGGCAGAGCAGCAATCAGAATAGTCTGACTCTTGTAGAGCTCTGGCATTGGCTAATTAATCACAGTGGTCCTAGAAGTGAAATTCACAGGAAGCCTACTGCACTCTTACTTAATTTATATAAGCAGAAAACTTCCAGGCCAAGTGAACAAAAGACAAATTTGAATTATAAAAATAGAGAATCATGGCGCCTCCATCAATTTCCAGACTTGAACCATTTTACAGACCCAGAACCACTTGAATGAAGGGGAAGCCAGTTCCCCTTGGGGAAGGACCCCACTACACTACCAACAATTTATGCTGTTAATTTTTCTTCCATCTTTTACCAAGGAGACCTCCAGCCTTTTACCAGGGTAACTATGCATTGGGGAAAGGGAAATAATCAGACCTTACAAGGACTGGACACAGTCTCTGACCTGATGTTGATTCCCAGGGACCCAAACGTCATTGTCGTCCTCTAGTAAAAGTAGGGGCTTATGGAGGTCAGGTAATTAATGGAGATTTAGCTGAGGTCTGACTTACAG
This sequence comes from Homo sapiens, assembly GCF_000001405.40. Classification (NCBI taxonomy): domain Eukaryota; kingdom Metazoa; phylum Chordata; class Mammalia; order Primates; family Hominidae; genus Homo; species Homo sapiens. The sequence continues at coordinate 5,846,551 of NC_000024.10, forward strand.
TAGGTCCAGTGGGTTCCCAGACTCATCCTGTTGTCATTTTCCCAGTGCCAGAATGCATAATTGGCATAGATATACTGAGCAGCTGGCAGAATCACCACATTGGGTCCCTGACTGGTAGGGTGAGGACTATTATGGTGGAAAAAGCCAAATGGAAGCCATTAGAGCTGCCTCTACCTAGAGAAATAGTAAATCAAAAACAATATTGCATCCCTGGAGGAATTGCAGAGATTACCACTACCATCAAGAACTTGAAAGACGCAGGGTGGTGATTCCCACCACATCCCCATTCAACTTTCTTATTTGGCCTATGCAGAAAACAGGTGGGGCTTGCAGAAAGACAGTGAATAATTGTAAGCCTAACCAAGTGGTGACTCAAATTGCAGCTGCTGTACCAGATGTGGTTTCATTGCTTGAGCAAATTAACACATGTCCCAGTACCTGGAATGCAGGCATTGACTTGGCAAATGGTTTTTTCTCCATCACTGTCCATAAGGCCCATCAGAAGCAATTTGCCTTTAGCTGGCAAGGCCAGTAACATAACTTTACTGTCCTACCTGAGGGGTACATCAGCTCTCTGGCTTTGTGTCATCATTTTGTTTGAAGAGCTCTTGATTCCTTTTCCCTACCACAAGATTGATCCATTACATTGATGACATTATGCTGGCTGGATCCAGTGAGCAAAAAGTAGCAAACACACTGGACTTATTGGGAGACGTTTGTGTGCAAGAGGATGGGAAATAAATCTGACTAAAATTCAGGGACCTTCTATCTCAGTAAAATATCTAGGGGTTATGGGGTGTGGGGTCTGTCAAGATATTCCTTCTAAATTGAAGGATGAGTTGCTGCATTTGGCCCCTCCTACAACCAAGAAAGAGGCACAACCTATTTAGATTTTGAATACAACACATTCCTCATCTGGGAGTGTTACTCTGGCTCATTTATCAAGTAACCAAAAAAGCTGCCAGTTTTGAGTGGGGTCCAGAAGAGGAGAAAGCTCTGCAACAGGTTCAGGCTGCTGTGCAAGCTGCTCTGCCACTTGGGCCATATGACCCAGCAGATCCAATAGTGCTTGAGGTGTCAGTGGCAGATAGAGGTGCTGTTTGGAGCCTTTGGCAGGTCCCCATAGGTGAATCACAGCAGAGGCCTCTAGGATTTTGGAGCAAGGCCTTGCCATCTTCTGCAGATAACGACTCTCCTTTTGAGAGACAGCTCTTGGCCTGTTACTGCGCTTTGGTAGAAACTGAACGTTTGGATATGGGTCATCAAGTTACCATGAGACCTGAAGTGCTTATCATAAACTGCGTGCTTTCTGACCCATCTAGCCATAAAGTGGGGCATGCACAGCAGCATTCCATCATCAAATGAAAGTGGTACATATGTGATAAGACTAGAGCAAGTCCTGAGGGCACAAGTAGGTTACATGAGGAAGTGGCTCAAATGCCCATGGTCCCCATCCCTGCCACCCTGTCTTCTCTCCCCCAGCCTGCACTGATGGCCTCATGTGGAGTTCCCTATGATCAGTTGACAGAGGAAGAGAAGACAAGGGCCTGGTTTACAGATGGTTCTGCACAATATGCAGGCGCTACCTGAACATGGACAGCTGCAGCACTGTAGTCCCTTTCTCAGACATCCTTGAAGGAAAGTGGCAGAGGGAAATCTTCTCAGAGGGCAGAACCTTGAGCAGTGCACCTCATTGTGCACTTTGCTTGGAACAAGAAATAGCCAAATGCTTAATTATATACTGATTAATGAGCTGTAGCCAATGGTTTGCCCGGATGGTCAAGGACTTGGAATAAGCATGATTGGAAAATTGGTGACAAAAGAATTTTGGGAAGAGGTATGTGGATGGACCTCTCTGAGTGGTCAAAAATTGTGAAGACATTTGTATCTCATGTAAGTGCTCACCGAAGGGTGACCTGAGCAGGGGAGGATTTTAATAATCAAGTGGATAGGATGACTCATTCTGTGGATACCACTCAGCCTCTTTCCCCAGACACTCCTGTCATCGCCCAATGGTCCCATGAACAAAGGGGCCATGGTGGCAGGGATGGAGGTTATGCATGGATTCAGCAACATGGACTTCCACTTACCAAGGTGACCTGGCTATGGCCACTGCTGAGTGCCCAATTTGCCAGCAGCAGAGACCAACACTGATCCCTCGATATGGCACCATTCCTTGGGTAATTAGCCAGCTACTTGGTGATAGGTTGATTACATTGGACCTCTTCAATCATGGAAGGGGCAGAGGTTTGTCCTCACTGGAACAGACACTTACTCCGGATATGAGTTTGCCTATCCTGCACACAATGCTTTTGCGAAGACTACATCCATGGATTCACGAAGGTCTTATCTACCATCATGGCATTCCACATAGCACTGCCTCTGATCAAGACACTCACCTTACAGCTAAAGAAGTGTGGCAGTGGGCTCATGCTCATGGAATTCACTGGTTTTACCATGTTCCCCATCATCCTGAAGCAGCTGGATTAATAGGATGGTGGAATGGCCTTTTGAAGTCACAATTACAATGCCGACTAGGTGACAATACTCTGCAGGGCTGGGGAAAAGTTCTTCAGAAGGCTGTGTGTGCTCTGAATCAGCATCCAATATATGGTACTGTTTCTCCCGTAGCCAGGATTCATGGGTCCAGGAATCAAGGGGTGGAAGTGGAAGTGGCACCATTCATCATCACTTCTAGTGACCCACTAGCAAAATTTTTGCTTCCTGTTTCCTCGACATCATGTTCTGCTGGACTTAAGGTTGTAGTTCTGATGGAGGAATGCTGCCACCAGGAGACACAACAACAATTTCATTGAACTGTACATTAAGATTGCCACTTGGCCACTTTGGGATCCTTCTACCTCTATGTCAACAGGCTAAGAAGAGAATTACAGTGTTGTCTGGGGTGACTGACCAGGGCTATCAAGTTAAAATCAGTCTACTACTCCACAGTGGAGGTGAGGAAGAGTATGTGTGGAATACAGAAACATTTTTAGGGTATCTCTTAGTATTACCATGCCCTGTGATTAAGGTCAATGGGAAATTACAACAGTCCAATCCAGGCAGGACTACAAATGGCCCAGACCTTTCAGGAATGAAGGTTTTGGTCATTGCACCAGGTGAAAAAACACAACCTGCTAAAGTGTGTGCTGAAGGTAAAGGGAATACAGAATGGGTAGTAGAGAAAAGCGGTCATCAAAATTAGCTACAACCACGTGACCAGTTGCAGAATCAAGGACTGTAATTGTCATGAGTATTTTCTTCTTATTTTGTTAAGAACATGTTTGTGCATGTATACACTGTACTAAGAAAATATCTTCAATTTATTTCCTTTTTATTTTATCATGTGACATAAGATTTATTGACTTCATATCAACATTTAAGTGTTATTAACTATGTAATAGCATTTGTGTTAGCGATTGGTGCATTTCCTACTGTACAAAAGACAGTTGTATTATGTTAGGTGTAATTATGACCTTATTATTGTCTTTACTTAAGATTATGTATGATTTCAGATGTGTATGAGTTCAAGTTGACAAGGGGTGGACTTGTGATGGTTAATGTTGAGGGTCAACTTGATTGGATCGAGGATGCAAAGTATTGCTCCTGAGTGTGTCTGTGAGGGTGTTGCCAAAGGAGATTAACATTTGAATAATTGGATTGGGAAAGGCAGATCCACCCTCAATATGGGTGGGCACAATCTAATCAGCTGCCAGTGCAGCCAGAATAAAAGCAGGCAAAAGAAAATGAAAAGACTAGACTAGTTTAGTCTTCTGGCCTACATCTTTCTCCCATGCTGGAAGCTTCCTGCCCTTGAACGTCAGACTCCAAGTTCTTCAGCTTTGGGAACCGGACTAGCTTCCTTGCTCCTCAGCTTGCAGACTTCTTATTGTGAGACCTCACCTTGTGATTGTGTGAATCAGTATTCCCTAATAAATTCCCCTTTACATATACATCTATCCTATTAGGTCTGTCCCTCTAGAGAACCCTAATAGATACACAAAAAGTAAATGAAAAGACATCTGTGTTGTTAAGAGGACAATAGTCCCCAAAGCGACATACAGGTTCAATACAATTTGATTTTTCTTTAATATATAATTTTTTTTAATAGAGATGTGGTCTATGTTGCCCAGGCTGTCCTGAACTCCTGGGCTCAAGCAATCTTCCTGCCTTCACCTCCCAAAGTGCTAAGATTGCAAACATGGTCCACAATGCCCAGCCCACAATTTTTTAATGGCCTTTTAAAAAAATGCATGATTTTAAAAATAGAATTATCTATTCCAAAATTCACATGGATTTTCATGATACCCTGAATAGCAAAAAGTAATCTCAAAAAGAAACACAAGAAACAAAGTGGAGGACTCACATGTCCTGATTTCAAAACTTACTATAGTACACAAAACATAGTATGGTTCTCACATAGGGATATACAAAAAGGCCAAGAGAATAGAAATGAGAGCTCGGAAGTAAACCTTCGCATATATCACTAATTGATTTATAACAAAGTGCCAAGGCTATTCAATGTGGAAGGAAAGTTGTTCAACAAATGGAGCTGATAAAACTGGATATGCAAATGTATTGAATGACGTGAAATCTTTACTTTACAGCGTATCTGAAAATAGCTCAAAATGAATGAAAGACCTAAATTGAAGAGGTGAGACTCCAAAATTCTTAGTAGAAATCATAGGAACAAATTTTCATGACCCTTTATTTGGCAATAGTTACTTAAATATCATACCAAAACTACAATTAAGAGAAAAAAAAGGTAAATTCGACTTCATAAAAATTAACTTTTGTATATCAAAGGACACTATCAAGATAATGAAAACACAACCCACAGAATTGAAGAATATATTTGCAGATAATATCTTAAGATTTAACATCTAGAATATATAAAGAACTCTTACAAAAAGGTAACTCAATTAAAAATGGTCAAAGTACTTCAACAGACATTGTTCCACAGAAGATATATAAATGGCTAATAAGCATATGAAAATATTCTTAGCATCATTAGTCTTATGAAAATGCAAATCAAAACTACAATGAGATACCACTCCCCACCCACTAGAATGGCTACTAAAAAATATTCAAAAATAACATCAATTGTAATGGATGTGGGGAAATTGGAACTTTTTGCATTACTTGTGCAAATGCAAAATGTTGCAGCCTCCATCAAAAGCAGAGTTTGAGAGTTCCTCAAAAAGTTAAAATGTAGAATTACCATGAGGGACTCAAACTGATAGTTGTACATGAATGTGCATAGTAACATTATTCACAATAGTCAATAGGTGGAAATAACCTGTGTGCATCAATGGATGAATGGATAAAAAATGTATATTTATATAATAGAATATTATTCAGGCATTAAAAGGGATGAAGTTTTGATACACACTGCAACATAGATAAACCTTAAAAACATCTATTTTAAATAAAGTAAGCCAGACACAAAAGGACAAAAATGAACCATGTAAAACAGACAAAAATGTAGAGATAGAAAACAGAGGTTTCCAGTGGTTGGCAGGAAAAGCACTGGAGATTTATTGCTTAACAGGTTTATAGTATTTGCTTAGTGTGATGAAAAATTTCTAGAAATATACAGTGGTTTTGGTGCAGAATATTGTGAATTTGTTGAATACCACTGAATTGTACAGTTAAAAATGGTTCAAATGGAACATTTTATGTCATATTTTACCACATCAAAAAATGTATAATCTCTGAAAGAAGAGTAAACATCTGAACAGGCGAGTTAATTTTGAAACAACCAAGAAGAAAGCATACTTAGAACTCCACAAACTGCAATTATATATGTATTGTCAGACATGAAATATAGAGTAGGTAAGCACAAAATGTTTAAAGAATAAAAGGTGAAATTACAAAGATCATTTAGTAAGAAAATATCAGAAAACAACAGGCATACTTGAACAAAGTGAAACTTCCTGAAATGAAAAACTATATATTCAGTGTAATAACAAAACTCAAATCCAGGGATTAAATGGCAGATTGCAATTTTCACTAGAAAATAAATTTGAAGAACTTATTCAGAGTGCAGTTAAAGATATAAGATGGAAAATATAAAAAAGAGGTTAAAAGAAATGGAAGATAGACTGAGAATGTGTAACATTTGACTGATTAGGTTTACCAAGAGAAAATGAAAAAGAAAAATGAAATACAAAAATCAAAACTGAAAAAAAAATTGTGGCTTCCATTTCTAATAATAGTCATATGGATATTCCAGAAATAATAAAAAAAAATTAGATTTAAGATATAATACATAGATTTAATTAGATTACATTTAATTGATTAGATTTAAGATATAATAATAGATTTAAGATATATAAGATATAAATGTATTATATCTTAAATCTAATCTTACTAAATTTAAAATCGTTTGTAAAAACTATTGTGGAGATATTTCTAGAAATTTCAAGACACCAAATGAATTGCGTATGTGATAAATATAAATAAATCATCACTAGGTATGTTCTAATAAAATTTCAGAACACCAAAGATGAAGATAAATTTTAAAAGTAGCCAGAGGAAAAAGGTGAATTACCTTTAAAAGGTTACAGTTTAACAAGAAGTCTGACTTTTCAACTACAAAGATTTTCAGAATAATATCTTCAGTATGCTGAATGAAGTTTTAAAAAGCAGCTGCCAAAAGAGTTTTAAACTGTGTAGGTATATTTCAAGACTAAAGGGAAATGAAAACATTTGTAGATAATGAAATCTGTAATTACCAACTGAACTTAAGGATATGCTTCAAGTGGAAGAAAAGTAAATTGAAATGGAGGGTCTGAGATGTAAGAGAGAATGAGAAATAAATAAAATAGTAAATATATAAATAAATCTAGATGAACACTGACTGCAAAAAGCTACAATAATGATAACATCTTTGGGCATTTAAAAAGATAATTAAAATAAGTAAGAGGAGTGACAAATTCTTTGGGAGGTGATTAAATTGAATGAAGGTATTCTAAGGTACTTGCACAGTCACAAGGGGTGAAAAAAGGTTTTGTTTATAGTAAGACTTTGTCAAGTAGGCATATGTAATTTCCAGGTTACCCATAAAAAATTCAAAACAGAAAGTGAAATTTCCAAATTAGTAGAGAAAAAAATGACATAATAAAAATTATTCAATTCAAAATGAGGCAAAAAAGAAGAGACAAAGAAACACAGGATATTTAGTACAAATAAAAATCACAACATAATACAGTTCATTAAAACTCAAATTTGTTAGTAATTCCATTGATTATATATGAATTATGTGTTCCATTTATGAAGCAAAATATCAGAAGAAAAATCCACCCATATACTGTTTTAAAGAAACATTTAAGACATAAGAATACAGAAAGTTTGGCAGTAAATGAATCAAAAATGAAATAATGAGTCTATGTGAAGATAATCAATGTTCACTGAAATATTAGGGTGAAATGCTGATGGAGAACTTTATAATAGATATACCAGGTCTATAACACCTGAGCCTAATCAAATGTAACACCATAAAAGTGAAATATCCAGACACTATCCACCAGGTTATAGGAAATGCAAAGCAAAAGAATATTAAAAGACATAAAGATGACTCAATCTTGCAATTCCAGAACATGGGAACTTCTAAAAGATAAATTGTTTTAATCAATATGTAGTAAAAAGGGAAAGGGAACTGTTACTGAATAAAAGTGACATCGTGACCAAATGTAATAACTTTGGACACTGCTTGAAGAAACCAACTATAAAAATTCATATTGAGTCAGTCAAGAACATGTTTATATTGACTGGAATTTTATTACTTTAAGGATTAGTATTAATTTTTCAGTGTAGTAATGGATTGTAGTTATAGTAAAAAAAAGTTCTTATTTTTGAAATTTACATTGAATTATTGATGAATAAAATTATGTGATATTTGGAATTTTCTTTAACATAATTTTCATTATTAATAATAAAATCATGAAAAGGAACAACTCTTGTTGAATGCACATTTGAACTCTGTTGAAGCAGGCATTTCTGACCTAGGGGGAAAAAAACATAAAAGAGAAGATTTTTATGTGATAAATACAGGTGGTTGCCAGGGGCTGCCGGGTGGGGAAAATGGGGAGATGTTAGTCAAATGGTACAAAGTTTCAGTTGTGCAGGATGAGTAAATAAGCTCTGGAGATCCAGTGTACAACATGATGACTATAGTTAATAATACTGTATTATATACTTAAAATTTTCTGAGTAGATTTGAAACGTTCTCGCCATACACACACAGAAAAGGGTAACTGTGAGGTGATGAATACGTATTCAAGCTAATCACGTAATTAGCTCGATTGTGGTATTTATTTCACAATGTATAAGTAAATTAATAAATCACATTGTACTCAACTATATATATTTTTTGTCAATTATACCTCAATAAAGCTGGGGAAAATGTAAAAATAAATAAATAAATAACCGAGAAAACCCAAACATCCATAAATGAAAATGATACCAAACCTGGCGCCACTTTTTACAATGGATGTAAAAGTCAAGAGTTAAAATCTTTAACATGCATGCTTACTATGTCGAAAGATCACGTACATGAAAACAAACATACTTTATTGTGATTTTTTTGAATGTAAGCGATGAAAATCTATCATAAAATAGCTTATGTAAAACAGGGAATGTAGCAACCTGTATAATAGAGGAAGACTAAGAGTAGTTTCGGTTTCAGGCCTGACAATACCAAGATATTCAAAAGCTGTTTTCTGTTTGGCTCTCCCTCATTCTTTTGGCTCTGCTTCACTTTGTGAACTGTGTGTTGCCTCATTCTCTTCTCCTACATGTGAGTTTCCCTCATGTGGCCTATAAGAAGTTGGAAGACAGAGCAATACATATCCATGGAAAAATATAAATGATTAGCAATAATGTTGGTTCAATTATAGTTATTTAATACATTCCAACTTTGCTTGACTATGAGAAATAATGCTATAGACACATATTTAATTATGTAGCAGTGTTGTGAAAGTGCCTTCAGATATATAAATGCAATGTCTTTTTTTATTGTCTACAATTGATTTGACTTTTATTTTAGGACCTGTTCATGACCCTATTAGATAGCAATAAAAATAATAAAAGCCACCCCCCACCCAAGGTTGAATATAATCCTGTAATCTCATTTTACTCCAATAACTTAAACTATCTCTTTAGGTAATTCAGTTCATGTCTCCTTGGAAGACCCAAGTACCTCAGTTTTTAGTGTTCTGCCTCCCTCTTCTTGATCCTCTCTCAGATGGCTTGTGGGTATGTTTAGAACTGAAGTGCGTGTGGCTTATGTGACCCTCCGGGCAATAAAAGGGATATGGGATGTCCTGCATTCTTATGGAACCCTTTGGACTTCCGTTGTTCTCTCTGGATACTCAGCAGTTTGTGCTGCTTCCTAGAATGATGAGTGCTGGTGTGCAACTGGTCTCATTTGCCCTCCTATGTGTGATGTGCTGCACCTACTTGTTGAGCTTATGTTCTTGGATATTGGCCCCTAATCTTGAATTCCCAATTCATGATACTTTCTCTTCATTACAATCCCAGGTTTCTACTGCTCCAAAAGTGTCCTATCAACTCCACATAGCATCCTCAGTGAGGTACACTGAAACATCTAAGTCCCAATTTTCCAGGCCATATGGAATCAGAAACTTTGACTCAGGTTCATCAAACTATTTATCTAATACCTGCACCTCAACATCATAGCTCAAACATTGTGTTGAAAGTAAGGGCATGTGAGGATTCTTCTAGAGGTTTGCAGCCTCTGCCTAGTGTGTCAATAATCTTAATGTTTACATCCATCTGACTCCTCCACCTCTATCTATTTGTTCTAGTAGGGGTTTGTGAAAGTCCTGGTGTCTAATCTCCTAACCCTATTTGTGTCTCAATTTTTCTTCCCAGAATTTCCTGGAACAAGAATGAACTATATTTCTTTTCTTTTCCCATCTTGGTAATATTGTTATTTGAAACTTTATAATCAAATCAATTAAGTCTGCCTCTTAATTTCTTAAATGGGAGATAAAGTTACTAAACTATTTCCTCTTGTCTGAGCTTTAACAATAATTCCCTTGCTAAATAATTTAAGAAAGTCAATTTTGACACTCATGACTAATCAAGGAAATTGATCACATTTAGCCAAAGAAATTTGATTCCTGAGAGGACTGGAGGTACAAAGTTGCAAATAAACAGTTTTTAAGAAAGGAGGAGAATATTTGAATGTTTTAACTTTTCTAAAATACAATTTACTATAAGGGGACACTTGAAAATATTGCTACATGAAAGGAGAGGCAGATGAGGATGGTACTTTTTATGATTTAAATAAAAAGTGGAGGATCGTGCTTAATTTTGGTTTTTGTGATTTATCATAAGTCATATCACACTGAACTCTAATTACTTTATCAATATGAAAATTATACAGTAATAGTTCAGGCAGACAAGTAAAACAAGCATGTAGGATAAACTGATCTGAGGACTTGAAGTAATTTCCATCGTAGCATAAGGCAGATACTTTTTCAGTGCCCTGAATGTTGTTTATTATGGATACTAGTAATAATTCTTCTGAGTGTATCAAAATCACCAGTAGAGCACTGATGAAAAGTGATACTAATAGATAGGAGTAGGTAAGGGAGTTTTCTTATGGAAAGGAGTGAGAATGAAAGGTAAATATAGAAAAAATAAAGATAGAGGAAAAAGATTATGACATAACATTTCAGATAATCAAATGAGATTGAAAACAAAGATTATATAATTCTACCACATAGCCAGTGAAATTCTAACTTTTAACCATAGCTTCTTCCAACTGTTTCAGCTGAATCCTTGACATCAATTCTTCTGATTCACTGTTATCCAAAATGATCTGTAAATACTTAGTTTGCCTATTCAGTTAATATTCAGCTGGACACCTTTTCCAGAGTTCAATCTCTTATTTTTTCATTTTCCCGTTAGTGCCCTCTATTTGGATACTCATCTTAAGTATTTTGTATTATTGTTTTATTATGCATAGCATTTCTGGTTCAAAATCATCATCTTCAATTTGAACGGATAATTCCAACATCACATCGCTTGACATTCTCACTAGTAAGTTTATCCTACCCACTATCAGATCTAGCACTATAGCAAAATGATGAGCCAACAACTCAAACCTGATTATTATGAATCCAATTACTGGCATTTTTCAGTCTGTCTAGTTCTAGCTCAATGTTTTTTCTCCCCCAAACAATGTATAGATTCAAAGAAATCCTAATCAAAATTACAGCCAGCTGTTTTTGAAATTGACCAGATGATTATTAATTTATATGTACTTGCAAAGGGTTAAAAATAGCCAGGATAGCTTGAGGATGAAAATTATGCTTTATTTAAAAAGATATGATAATTAAGATGGTGTGATTTTTTAAATAAGAATAGGACAATGAAGGAAATAAAAATTCCAGAGCCCAAAAACAGACCTACATAAAGTCATCTGATTTACTTCAAAGGTGACACATCAGAATAGTGGGGTAAGAAATTTCCATTCAAAAAATGATGCTGTACTAATTGAATATCCACATATTTTAAAAAATTGACATTTTTTAATGCCGTAGAATTTGAAGAGTGAAAAGAATAAAAAATCTTTTCAGAACTGGAGGGGAAAAAAAAGCAGCTCTATTGTTAATAAGTCTGGGAGGACAGGCAGAGAGAAAGTCAGATATAGTCTCAAAAAAATGTAACATTGTTTCTTCCAAGGTCTTGCAACAGTTGTGACATTCAATAAGGGCCACCTCTTTGGGTGACCACTGCTTTCTTACTATCGACATATCCAGACCAGATTTTCTATTTTTGTGTGTTACTAGGGAAAACCCAATTGCTTTTGTCAGTAACCAATCCCCAGTTAATCTGTACTTATTTTAATCCATCCTCAGAAATAACAACCATACTTCCATTAGACTGCCCTCAGAATCCTTCAGTGGTAACTCAAACTTTGCAAAAGACACTTCCTTCTATCTTGTCAGATGACATTCCACTAGTCCTCTGAAATACCCTTCCCTTCCAGTGAGTCAATAAATCTGATTTTGTCACACTACAGGCTTGTTCCTGTTGATCTTTAACAGGAGTTTGGACACTCTAAATATGAAATGTAAAATGAGAAACTTCTGGAATATAACATAGAAAAATGTCTTTATGACCTTGAAATAGGCAACAACTTATTAAAAAGAAAACAAATAAAACAAATCACACTAGCAGCAAAGAGAACAATTGATAATTTGTACTACATTAAAATTCAGAATTTCTTTTCACCAAAACACAGCATAAAGCAAAAGAAAATGCAAGCCAAAAATGCATGCAACCCAACATTTGAAATGTTTAACCGGAAATGTCTATTATGGACAAAGTTACTTGTGTCCATAATGTATACAAATTTTCTAGAAATTAATAAGAGACAGTCAACCTAATAGGAAAATGAAAACAGACTTTTTGAGGCAATTTGGAAAGAGGATATCAGTATCGGCGAGATTGGTAAAATTACTTTGTAGAACTGTTCATGAACTATTAAACCTGAATATCTGCATAGGTTTTGAACCAGCACTTCCAATCATGGGTCTATTAACTACAGAAATGGGTACGTATGTGCACCAGAAGGCAAGTGCCAAACCATCTATAGCACAACAGGTCCTAACATCCAGAAACTAGAAATTACTGTAATTGCCATTAACAATAAAATGAGCCAAAGAACATGTTTATTTGCAGGAGATGTAACACAATGGAATACTATGAATGATCAATAGAGGAAAAAGTGCTACTACATGCAATAACATAGATGAATTTCACAAATATATTATTGAACAACAAAAATGCTAGTCACAAGATAATACATACTGTATGATTCGATTAATATGAATTTCAAAAACAGACAAAAGTAACTTACAATGTTAGAAAAGAGGGTGGCAATAGTGATAGGTATGGGGCACAAAGAGAGCTTAGATACTGGAAGAAATTCAATATGTATTGACTTAAATGGCCAATTCAGCTACCTGCACATTTATGGTTTGGTAACATTACTGTCTGTAGGTTATTCGTTTTTTAGATACTAATTTTTTAAAGGACAGTTAAGCACAGACAGGAGGCAATTCACAACCCTGGTACAAAGAAAATGGCAAAAACCAAAGTGAGTCTATATAATTGAGAGATTCTCAGTTCCCAAAGTGTATTCAATATTTTCTTTTCATTGTCACCCATATAAAATAAGACTTTATATGTGAGAGATTATCTGGGAAGTGACAGGACAGTTGAGGTTTTCCCTGGGAGATTTTTCAATCATTACTGGGTGAATAGGGCACTTTAGGTATGTTGATTAAGAATAAAAGGAAAAAAAATTGCACAGCATTTCTCTAACGTTTGCATCTAATCTGTTAAACTTTAGCTGAGTTTTGCAAGATTGTCATCTGGGAATACCACCTCAAAAAAGTAGTTGATTAACATAATCTCTTGATTAATTCAGAGGTGTGAATCCCAATCCCTTAGCAAATGAATTGGTAGGTAACGATTAATGATCAGGAAAAAGACAGGAAATTGGGCAAAATGTGAAAAAAAAATTAGTACCTACATCAGTTTGCTAGGACTGCCATAACAAAGTACCACAGACTAAGAGGCTTTAACAAGAGAAATATATTTACTTTCAGTTCTGAGGGCTACAAGTCTGAGGTGAAGGTGTTGGCAGAGTTATTTATGTTGGCAGAATTGCCTGTTTGTCTTGCAGATGGCTGTCTTCTTGTGTCTTCACATGTTCTCTCTGTGTGTACCTGTGTCCTAATTTCCTCTACTGATAAAGATAACAGTCACATAGAATTAGAGCTTGTTGAAGTGACCTCATGTAACCTCAATTACCAATATAAAGGCCTTACTTTCAAATACAATCATATCCTGGAGTACTGGGGTTTAGGACTTCAACATATTAATTTTAGGGAGACAAAGTTCATGCTGTAACATTACATATAACTTTACATTGAAAATTAATGTAAAAATAGCCCATAATTATTTTTTAAATTATTTTTAAACATTGTTCAAGAGTAGTTATGCCCATAAAAGTGGAAATCATCATGTCAAGGCAAACAAATTGACAAAAATCTAAGTGAGCAAACACAATTGAAGATACCTCCTTAGTTACTGTTATAGATTGAATCGTGTCCCCTTTCCACAAATTGATATGTCGAAGCTTTAACCTCGTATGTTATATTTGGACATAGGATCATTAAAGAGATAATTAAGATAAAGTGAGGGCCTAAGGGTGAAGCCCTAATCCATTAGCACTGTTGTCCTTATATAAAAAGGAAGAAAATGCACAGAGAGAGAGAGAGAGAGAGAGAGAAAGATAGAGAGAGAGAGAGAAAGGCAATGTTAGCACCCAGAAAGAAAATGGCCATCCACAAGCTAAAGAAATAAAGAGGCCTCAGGAGAAACCAACCCTGCTAGCACCTTCATCCTGAACTTCCACCCTCAAGAACAGTGAGAAATAAATTTGTCTTAGTCCATGGCAGGTGAATAAAACATAATATCTTAGACTGGGTAATTTATAAATAATATAAATTTAATTGTCACAGATGTGGAGGTTGGGGAGCCCAAGATTAAGGAGTCAACAGTTTTGGTGTCTGGTCAGGGCTGGCTCCTCATAGCCACTGTTTTCCTCACAGAATACTCTTGTGGCAGAAAATATGTGAATACTGAGTCCTCACATGACAAAAGGAGCAAAAGGATAAAGGGCAAAAAAGAGTAAAGCCTGTGTCCTCACACGGCAGAAGAGATGGACCAGCAAAAAGGAGCTAATGTGCTCACTACAACCTCTCTTATAAGTGTTCTGTGCATAAGGGTAGAGCAATCACTTCCACAAAAGTCCTTCCTTTTAATACTATTACATTGGCTATTAGGTTCCAACATATGAATTTTCAAATCACAGCATTGTTATTTAAGGCATCTAGTCATTGGTGTTTTATTATGCAGTGCTAGCAGACTAATACAGTTACCCAAATATATTTAGTTTCCTTTTCACAGGGTATTATGTATGGAAAGCACATGTTCAAATAAGGGAGAGGACTGGCACATCACCAAGATTTTGAGTTTTGTTTAATGATTTCATTATTCTTTTTTATATCACGCATTCAATTTTCTTTTTTAAAAAAATTTATTTGAGGTTCAGGGTTACATGTGCATATTTTTTATATAGGTAAAGTCATGTCATGGGGGTTTGATGTACAGATTATTTCATTACTCAGGTACTATGCTTAGAACTCAATAGTTACTTTTTTTCTGCTCCCCTCCCTCCTCCCATTCCCCACCCCCTGGTAGGTTGCAGTGTCTGTTGTTCCCCTTTTTATGTCCAGGTGTTCTACTTATCAGTGAAAAACATGTGATATTTAATTTTCTGTTCCTGCATTAGTTTTCTAAGGATAGTGGCCTCCAGCTCCATCTATGTTACTTCAAAGGACATGATCTTGTTCTTTATTGTGGATGCATAGTATTCAATGGTGACTAGGCACCATATTTTCTTTATCCAGTTTTCATTGATTGGCATTAAGGTTGATACTACGTCTTTGCTATTGTGAATAAGGCTGAAAAGAACTTACACATGCATGTGTCTTTATGATAGAATGATTTATTTTCCTTTGGGTATATACTCAGTAATGAGATTGCTGGGTCAAATGGTAGTTCTGTTTTTAGCTCTTTGAAGAATCACCACACTGCTTTCCACAATGCTTGAATTAATCTATACTCCCATAAACGCTATATAATTGATCTATTTTCTCTGCAACCTCATCATCATCTCTTGGTTTTTGACTCTTTAACAACACCCTTTCTGATTCGTATGAGATGGCATCTCACTGTGGTTTTGATTTGCATTTCTCTAATGCTCAGTTATGTTGAGCTTTTTTCCTATGATTGTTGGCCACATGTATGTCTTCTTTTGAAAAGTGTCTGTTCATATACTTTGCCCACTTTTTAATGGGGTTGATAATTTTTTTCTTGTAAATTTGTGTAAGTTCTCTATACATGCTGGCTATTGGACCTTTTTCAAATGCATAATTTGCAAGTATTTTCTCCCATTCTGTAAGTTGTCTGTTATTCTGTTGATAGTTTCTTTTGCTGTGCAGAAGCTCTTTAGTTTAATTAGATCCTATTTGTCATTTTTACTTTTGTTGCAATTGCTTTTGGGTTCTTCATCATAAAACATTTGCCAATTTCTTTGTCTAGATTGGTGTTGCCTAGCTTGTCTTCCAGGGTTTTTATAGCTTTTGCTTTTATATTTATGTCTTTAATGTATCTTTAGTTAATTTTTGTATATGTTATAAGGAAGGGGTCAAGTTTTGATATTCTGCAAATGGCTAGCCAGTTATCCCACCACCATTTATTGAATAGAAAGTCCTTTCCCCATTGTTTGCTTTTGTTAGCTTTGTCAAAGATCAGATGATTGTACGTGTGTGACCTTATTTCTGGGTTCTCAATTCTATTCCATTGGTCTATGTGCCTGATTTTGTACAAGTACCATGTTGTTTTGGTTATTGTAGCCATGCAGTAGAGTTTAAAGACAGGTACTATGAGGCCTCCAGCTTTGCTCTTTCTGCTTAGGATTACCTTGGCTAATCAGGCTCTTTTTTGGTTTCATTTTAATTTTAAAACAATATTTTTTGAGATGGAGTTTCACTCTTGTTGCCCAGGCTGGAGTGCAATGGCACAATGTTGGCTCACTGCAGCCTCCGCCTCCCAGGTTCAAGTGATTCTCCTGCCTCAGCCTCCCAAGTAGCTGGGATTACAGGCATGAGCCACTGCACCTGGCCAACAATTTTTTTTCTAGTTCTGTGAAGAATGTCATTAGTAGTTTGATAGAAATACAACTGAATCTATAAACTGCTTTGGGCAGTATGGACATTTTAATGATATTGATTTTTCCTACTCATGAGCATGGAATGTATTTCCATTTGTTTGTGTCATCTCTGATTTCCTTGAACAGTGTTTTGTATTTATCATTGTAGAGATCTTTCACCTCCCTCATTAGCTATATTCTTAGGCATTTTATTCTTATTGTGTCAATTGTGCATGGTATTGTATTGCATTCATGATTTGGCTATCAGTATGGCTATTGTTGGTGTATAGGAATGCTAATGATTTTTGTACATTGATTTTGTATCCTGACTTTGCTGAAGGTGTTTATCAGCTTAAGGATCTTTTGGCCTGACAGTATGGGTTTTTCTAGATATAGAATCATGTCATCTGCAATCAGGGATATTTTGACTTCCTTTCTTCCTATTTGGATGTCTTTCATTCTTTTCTCTTCCTTGATTATTTGGGCCATGACTTCCAATGGTATGTTAAATAGGAGTGGTGAGATGGCATCCTTGTCTTGTGCCAGTTTTCAAGAGGAATGCTTCCAGCTTTTGTCCATTCAGTATGATTGTTGACTGTGGGTTTCCCACAGATGGCTCTTATTATTTTAAGGTATTTTCCCTCAATACCTATGTTGTTGTAAGTTTTAATATGAAGAAATGCTGAGTTTTAATGAAAACTTTTTCTGTATCTATTCAGATAATCATGCAGTTGTTGTACTTCTGTTTACGTGGTGAATTGTGTTATTGATTTATATATGTTGAACAATCTTGCTTCCTAGGGATAAAATCTAATTTATTGTGGCAGATTCACTTTTTGATGTGCTTTGGTTTGCCAGTATTTTGTTGAGGACTTTGCATCAATGTTCATCAAGGATATTGACCTGAAGTTTCTTTCTTGTGGTGACTCTGACAGGATTTGGAATCAGGATAATGTTGGCTTCACAGAATGAATTGTGGAGGAGTTCCTCCTCTTCAGTTTTCTGGAATAGTTACAAGAGAAATGGTTCCAGTTCTTCTCTGTACATATTGTAGAATTGGGCTTTGAATCCATCTTGTCCAGGGCTTTTCTAGGGGGTGTGGGGATGTGGTAGGCTATGACTGATTCAATTTAAGAGCTCATTATTGGTCTGTTCAGGAATGTAATTTCTTCCAGGTTCAGTCTTGGGAGGGTGTATATATCCAGGAATTTATCCAATTCTTCTAGATTTTTTAGTCTGTGTGCATAGAGGTATTCATAAGAGTCTTAGTAATGGTTGTTCTGTGGGGGCAGTTGTAATATCTCCTTTGTAATTTCTGATTGTGTTTATTTGGATTGTCTCTCTTTTCTTCTTTATTAGTCTAGCTGGTGGTCTATCTATCTTATAAATTTTTTCAAATAATCTAGCTCCTGGCTTTGGTTGTCTTTTGAATGGTTTTTCATATCTCAAACTCCTTCAGTTTACTTCTCATTTTGGTTACTTCTTGTCATCTCCTAGCTTTGGGATTAGTTTGCTCTTGCTTCTCTAGTTCTTTTAGTTGTGCCGTGAGGTAGTTAATTTGAGATCTTTCTAATTTTTTGATGTCAGCATTTAGTGCTGTGAGTTTCCCTCTTAACCCTGCTTTAGCTTTGTCCCAGAGATTCTGGTATATCTTTATTCTCATTAGTTTCAAATACTTCTTGATTTCTGCCTTAATTTAATTATTTACCCAAAAGTAATTCAGGAGTAGATTGTTTAATTTCCATGTTATTCCATGGTTTTGAGTGATTTTTTTTTTAGTCTCAAATTCTATTTTTATTGTGCTGTGGTCCAAGAGAGTGGTTGGTATGATTTTGGTTTTTTGCATCTGTTGAGGATTTTTTAATGTCTAATCGTGTTGCAACTTTTAGAGTATGTGCCATCTACAGATGAAAAGAATATATATTCCATAGTTTTGGAGTAGAGAGTTCTGTAGATGTCTATCAAGTCCATTTGATCCAGTTTTGAGTTCAGGTCCTGAATATCTTAATTTTCTGCCTCGATGATCTGTCTAATACTGTCAGTGGTGTGTTAAAGTCTCCCATTATTATTATTATGTGAAAGTCTAAATTTCTTTGAAGGTCTCTAAAGAATTGTTTTATGAGTCTAGGTACTTCTGTGTTGGATGCATATATATTTAGAATAGTTAAGTCTTCTTGTTGAATTGAACCCTTTATCATGATGTGCTACCCTTTTTTGTCTTTTTTGTTCTTTGTTGGTTTAAATTCTAATTTTGTCTGAAATTACAATTGCAACCCATGCTTTTTTCTGTTTTCCATTTGCTTGGTTGATTTTTTTATCCCTTTATTTTAAGTCTATCAGTGTCACTGCATGTCACATGGCTTGCTTGAAGGCAGCATACATTGGGCCTTGCTTCTTTATCCAGCTTGCCACTCTGTGTCATTTAATTAAGGCATTTAGTCCACTTGCATTTAAGGTTAGTATTGATTATCTGTGGATTTGATCTTGTCATTGTATTGTTAGTTGTTTGTTATGCCTACTTGTTTGTGGTTGCTTTATAGTGTCACTGGTCTGTTCATTTAAGTGTGTTTTTGTAGTGGCTGGTAATGGTCTTTCCTTTCCAGGTTTAATGCTTCATTCAGGAGCTCTTGTAAGGCAGGTCTGGTGGTAACTACTTTTTTCAGCATTTGTTCATGTGAAATGGATCTTATTTATCCTTTGGCCAGATATAAAATTCTGAGTTGAAATTTATTTTCTTTAAGAAGATTTAATATAGGCCCCCAATCTGTTTTGGCTTGTAGGGTTTCTGCTGAGAGGTCTGCTATTAATCTGATGGGCTTCTTTTTGTAAGTGATCTGTCACTTCTCTCTGATTCCCTTAATTTTTTTTGTTCTTGTTGTTTCGGCCTTAGACAATCTGATGTTTATGTGCCTTGAGGATAATCTTTTGAAATATTTTGTGGGAGTTCTCTGCATTTCCTCAATTTTAAGGTTGGCCTCTCTATCTAGGTTAGGAAAGTTCTCATGTATGCTAACCTAAAATATATTTTCCATGTTGCTTACACTTGCCTCATCTCTTTCAGGGATGCCAATGAGTTGTAGATTCAATCTCTTTACACAATCCTGTATTTCTCAGATGTTTTGTTCATTTCTTTTTATTCTTTTTTTAAAAAACTATTTTCTGACTGTCTTATTTCTGAAAGCCAGTCTTCAAGCTCACAGATTCTTTACTCAGTTTGGTGTATTCTGCTGTTAATACTTGCAATTTCATTAGGAAATACTTATAGAGTGTTTTTTAGTGCAGTAACATCAGTTACATTATTTTTTATACTGGCTATTTTTTCTGTCAGCTCCTGTATCATTTTACTGTGATTCTTAGCTTCCTTAGATTGGGTTTCAACATTCCCCTGAATATTGATGATCTTCATTCCTGTTCATATTCTGATTTATATTTCTGTCATTTCAGCTATCTCAGTTTGGTTAAGAATTCTTGCTGTAGAATGAGTATGATCATTTGGAGGAAAGAAGGCACTCTGGCTTTTTGAGGTGTCAGAGTTCTTTTGCTGGGTCTTTCTCATCTTTGTGGGTTGATGTTTTATTCAGTCTTTGAAGTAGCTGTTTTTTGGTTAAGATTTTTCCTTTTTTCCTACTTGAAAACCTTGAGGGTTTGGTTATGGTATAAGGTAGGTTCAGTCATCTGGTTTCATGACTGGAAGCTTTTAGGGGCCAAGTTTCATCTTAGGACTCCTGAACTGGGTGTTCTAACTCTGGGAGACTGATATCCAGCCCCAGATTTTACCTCTTCCCCCTCAAAGGTTAAGAACCTGCTGTGCTGGAGAGACCAAAGTGCTTTTGGACTTCTGGTCACAACATTCTAATGAGTGGTGTCAGACAAAGCACTTCACAGGGCAGTGGAAGCTGGATCCATCTTAATTCACATGTGGCAGCAATAGCATCAGTGGCAGCACAGGACAGGAGTGTTGCATGCTCTTTGGTAGTGACAGGGTGTTATTGTGTGCTTGGTTGCTGGCTTCTGTGCAGGCGTTCACAGCAGTGTTGATGGCAGTACAGCTCAGTGGGGGTAGGGATCCCCCACCAGTCATGGTGCACATGTTCATGCTGATGTCAGCATGGGGCTACCATGCTTGAGAGTGCAGTATTAGGTGCACCCTCTCTGTGCACACTGGTGGCAGTAGCCACTCTGAGTGGGGGCAGGTCTGCTGTTTTCCATGCCTAGTTTCACACCAGCAGTAGAGTTGCTTCAGAAGTGCGGCAATGGTTGGGGCAGGGTTGGCAGGCTCCATGCCTGCTAACTCTCCAAAAACAATGGCCATGCAGTGTAGGTGGGTGTGTGTGCACTCACTTCTGCAACAGTGACACAGCAGGGTGCATGTGCACTCCAGCACTGGCAGAGTGTGCTAGGTCTTTCCATGCACATACATGCTGCCAAAGCAATGGGGGAAGCTGGTTGTGAGTGAGTGGCTGCAGGGAAAGTGGCATGGGGGAGGCTGCAGTAGGGGAGGGAAAGGGTGGACTGGTGCACGTCTGTGGGGTCAACCTATTGGAGCACTCTGCCTGTCAGACACAATCTGCCTGCACAGGAGCTATGATATGGGCCCCCAAAGTTACCTGGGGGCTGCACTATAAGAAGACACAGCCAGGCTGGGGACTCAGAAGAGGCAAGCAGACTGAGGGGTGTTGGGGCGGGGGAGGTGCCCCGACTTATGGACACCACCACCATGCAGAGTTCAGGACCAACACTTTGCTTAGGGCAAAAATCTCCCATGGGAGCATGTGGAGCCTTGGGGGATGGAATCCCTGGCCATGCTCCACTACAGATGCGCCCACACCAAAGCCTCTGGACTCTGCACTGGCTGGAGTTCTGTCCCCTACCACTTCTCTAAGCAGCTTTCTCTGCCAACTCAAGTGTCCATAGTCATAGAGGGGTCTCCGCCTGCCAGGATTCCAGAGGTCTTTGGGGAAAGTGGGTTGCTCCTTGGCAGTTCAAGTAATTGGCTGCCTCAGTCACTGGGGGCTGGGAATGAGTCCCTGTGCATGGTAGCCCCTTGCAGGATTCCCAGCTTCCTCCCGCTTCGGGCTAGCTTCTGTGTCTTTCCTCCATCCACTCTCAGTGCCTTCCCCTCTGAAGATCTGTTAGGAGTGCACCAGTCATCCCCATCCCTCTGTGGCAGCTGTTCCACTTGGCTAAGTCTAGTCAGCCATCTTGATCAAATCCACCAGAAAACTCTATAAAAATCTATGCTGAGTAATTATGATAGGATCCTTGATTCTGGCAATCCCACTTTTAGGTATTTATTCAAAAGAAATGATAACATATGTCCATACAAATACCTGTACACATATGTTCATTATAACTTTATTGTAACAGCCAAATACCCCAGCAGCCAGCCCCCAACCAGTACCAGGGACCACCCAAACTCCCGTTTTTGATTTTTGATACATACTTTCATCGAAATGTTGGTAAAATAAACATAGTGTCTCTAGTGGGATAAAACTTTCACACAATGTATAGATATGTATGTGTGTATATATATATACACACATACATATTCATATTTATACATATATGCTTTTTATGTATACATAAAAGATCTTTACAAAAACAAGTAAAAATTGACATAACTATTTTAAAATAAAATAAAACTAAGAAAAGCAAAATATAATAAATAAAAACATGGATTATCATAAGTGATTATTTCATTACAAAATATTTTAAATTGGGTATATTAAAATTGCAAGACGAAATTTTTTCTACTTTGATAGAGTAACTGGTAGTGGACTTGCCCTCCTTTCAGAAAAAATTACAAAACTGGAAAATACAGATAAAATACTGTTTGCAGATATTGGCAAACATGCAGCACAGAACTGTAATCAGTGAAGAAGGGTTAAAAGAAGGTAAGCACCACAATATCCCAAACAGAGAAATAGGAAAGGTAAACTCAGGTAAATACCAGTAATCTCCCTGGATTGAAAAGATCAGAATTAAAATTCTGGAAAGTTTAGATAAACTTTGGAATTTGTAGAGTACTGGAGGTGAAGGAATAGCACAGAGAAAGAGCTTCACAAATCTGAATAGAAAAGCCGTTGAATTTTTCCTCAATAAAAAGCTGTGCATGCATAAGGTGAAATTCCACAAGTTAAAACAGACAACAGCTGGAAAGTCCTGACTTGAATAATTCCCAGAAATTACAAAGGGTGGGAAGACATTTAAACTCTAACCAATACGTTGAAAAACTCATTTAATCCTTCTCTACGGAAAAATCTGTCAGACTTTATCTGACCAATCAGGTTGATAGATTTTTCTGTAGCGAAGGATTAAACTGATCTGTAAGTAATATAGCTGCCTGTCTAAATATAATTCAAATCTTGCTAATGTAGGACAACAAATATAGACACTCAATACCATAATATTCACAGACACCTACTATACAGTGAAAAATTATTAGATATGCAAAGAAGCCAAAAATTATGACCCATAAAATGATGGATAAACATATGCCATGCTAACAACAGCAAGAAGAAAGATGTAGTAACTATATTAATTTCAGACAAGACAGATTTGAGAATAAGGAAAAATATTAAAAGTAAAGAAGGGCATTACATAATGAGAAAGGAATCAATTCTCCAAAAGATATAAAAATTCTTAATATGTATGTGCTTAACAATGAGCATTGAATATGTGAAAAAAGAAGTGACAGAAATGAAAGGAGAAATAGAAAAATCTACTTTCATATAGTTGGAGATTTCAACACACTCCACTATCATTATGACAGATTCAGAATTCATAAAATCAGTATGGCCATATTTGAACAGAATAGTATCTTTAATAAACTAAATCTAACGGAAATTTATAGAAAAATTTATTCAAAAACAGAAAAACAAACATTTTTCTTAAGCTTATATTAAACATTTACCAACTTAGAAAGTATTCTGGGCCATAAAACTCACCTTAATTAATTTAAATTAATAGCAATCATACAAAGTATGCTTTCAGACCATAATAAAATGAAACTAGAAATCAGTGACTGAAAGTTACATGGAAAACATCCAAAATACTTGGAGAGTAAACGACACACTTTAAAATAACATATATATCTAATAAGAAGGGTGAAGACAATTTTAGAACATATTTTTAAATATCTCAAATGGAAATTATTGACTTTTGTAGAATAGAACCAAGGCAGTACTTAGAGGGAAATGTATAGCATTTAATGCATATACTACAAAAGAAGACAGAACTATAATCAGCAATCAAATTTCCAATGTAGAAAACTAGGGAAATAGCAAATTAAATCCAAAGCATGCAGAAGAAAAGTCAACATTAGAAATTATAAAAAGAGCAGAAATCAATGAAATTGAAAACAGGAACCCAGCCAACAAAATAAAGATTATGAGATTTTGATCCTGTCATCATGTTGTTAGCTGGTTTCTTGTTTTCAATTTCATTGATTTCTATTATTTCTAATGTTTACTTTTGTATACCCAGGGGAGTATATGTTGTTCTATTATAAAGACACATGCAAGCATGCGTTCATTACAGCACTATTCACAACAGCAAGGACACGGAATCAACCTAAATGTCCATCAATAATAGACTGAATAAAGTGTGTTACGTATATACCATGGAATACTATGTGTGTGTGTGTGTTTTTTTTTTATAGGATTAAAAAAGAATGAGATCATGCCCTTTGCAGGGACAGGGATGGAGCTGGAGGCCATTATTCTTAGCAAACTAACACAGGAACAAAAAAACAAATATCACATGTTCTCACTTATAAGTGGGAGCTAACTGATGAGAACACATGGACAAATAAAGAGGAACAACACACACGGAGAGTAGAAGATGGTAGGAGGGAGATAATCAGGAAATATCAGTAATGATTACTGGCCTTAATACCTGGATGATGAAGTAATCTGTAGAACACACCTTTATGACACAAGTTTACCTATATAACAAACCTGCAAATGTACCCCTGAACTTAAAACAATTAAGTTAAAAAATAAATATGAACCCGGAATGGAAATGGTCGAAATGCCTGACTTAAATCGCATAGAGTGAAAAGCTGGATTAAAAGACAAGACTTAACTGTCTGTTATCTTTATGAAACCCATCTCACATGTAATGACACCAACAGGCTCAAAGAAAAGAAATGAAGAAAGATCTTCTATGCAAATTAAAAACAAAGAAGAGCAGGAGTCACTATTGCTATGTCAGATAAAGCAGACTTTAAATCAACAACAATTAAGAACAACAAAGACATTACTTAATTACAAAGGTTTTAATTCAACAAGAATACTTAACTATCTTAAATATATCTGTACTCAGCCTTGGAGCACCCAGACTCATAAAAGAATTTTTTTTTTATTTACAAAAAGCCTAAACACACACACACAGTAATAGTGGGAGACTTCAACACCCCCCTGACAGCATTAGACAGATCATCAAGGTGGAAATTCTGAAATTAAACTTTACACTTGACCAACTGGACCTAATAAACATCTACAGAACTCCAGCCAATAACTACAGAATATGCATTATTTTCATCTGCATACAGAACATATTCTAAGATTAACCACCTGTTTGGTTATAAAGCAAGTCTCAAAAATTTAAAATATTGAAATCATATCAAGCATACTCTTGACCACAGTGCAATAAAAATAGAAATCAATATCAAGAACATCTCTCAAAACTACACAGATACATGGAATATAAACAACTTGCTCCTGAATAACTCTTGGGTGAACAACAAAATTAAGGCAGAAGTAAAAAAAAATAAAATAAATGAAAACAGAGACAAAAATTAACAAATCTTCGAGATACAGCTAAAGCAATGTTAAGTGGAAAATTTACAGTGCCAAATGCCTTCATTAAAAAGTTAGAAAGATCTCAAATTAATAACCTAACACTGCACCTAGAGAAACTAGAAAAAAAGAAACTAATCAGCTCCAAAGCTAGCAGAAGAAAAGAAATAACTAAAATTAGAGAACTTAATAAAATTGAGATACAATAATCCATAAAAAGATCAATAAAACTGAGTTGCTTCTGCAAAAAACAAATGAGATTGATAGACCAAACATAAGATTGATAGACTAACAAAGTAAAAAAAAAAAGAGAGAGAAGATTCAAATAATCCCTTGCATCAGTGTGTCCTAGATAAGGAACATGGAGTCTAAAGAGATTATTTTGGATCTTTAAGATTTAATGACTGCCCTGCTGTGTTTGGGACTCACGTGGGGCCTGTAGCCCCTCTGTTTTGGCTGATTTCTCCCTTTTGGAATGGGAATATTTACCCAATGCCTGTATCCTCATTGTATCTTGGAAGTAACCAACTTATTTTTTATTTTACAGCCTCATAGGTAGAAGGAACTAGGCTCATCTTAGATGAGATTTTGGGCTTTTGAGTTAATGATGAAATGAGTTAAGACTTTTGGAGGACTGTTTGGAAGACATGATTATATTTTGCAATGTGAGAAAGATGAGACTTTGGAGGGGGCAGGGGCAGAATGATATGGTTTGGCTCTGTGTCCCACCGAAATCTTATGTTTAATTGTAATCCCCAATGTTGGCCCAGCACCGTGGCTCAAGCCTGTAATCCCAGCACTTTGGGAGGTCGAGGCAGGCAGATCACTTGAGGTCAGGAGTTTGAGACCACCTTGACCAAAATGGTGAAACCCTGTCTCTACTAAAAATGCAAAAATTAGCTGGGTGTAGTAGCGAACGTCTATAGTCCCAGCTACTCAGGAGGCTGAGGCAGGAGAATCACTTGAACCTGGGAAACGGAGGTTGCAGTGAGCCAAGATCGTGCCACCGAACTCCAGCCTAGGTGACAGAGTGAGACTCCGTCTCAAAACAAAACAAAATCCCCCATGTTGGAGATGGGGCCTGGTGGGTAGTGATTAAATCATGGGGGCAGATTTCTTGTCGGTGCTGTTCTCATGATAGTGACTGAATTCTCACGATATCTGGTTGTTTAAAAGTGTGTGGCACCTCCCCTTCTCTCTCTTCCTCTATCTCCAGCCATGTGAAGGGCTGCCTCCCCCTTCACCTTCTATCTTGATTGTAAGTTCCCTGAGGCCTCCCCAAAAGCTGATGCCACCATGCTTTCTGTACAGCCTGTGGATCCATAAGCCAATTAAACCTCTATTTTTTGTAAATTACCCAGTCTCAGGTAGTTCTTTACAGCAATGAGAGAAGGGACTAATACAAGGATGGAAGAGACAAAACCACGAGAGTTCCTCTATATCACTCACCATGTTTTGTAGCACACTGCATACTTTTATCATATCAGTTATTGCTCTGTATTGTAACATGGGGTTTGCCTATCTGTTTGACTCATGGTGTTTTAGGTCAAGGTGTGGTATGGATTTCTAGTGTGCAGTAATATCTAATGGAGTTTTCGCTCCCTTCAGGTACACAGGATAATTATACTTTCCTTTATCCTTAGGCTGGAGATGGTGCCACAGTTATGGCTAATTGGTTTAAAAAAATCAGTTCCAGTCTTTTCTTCCCCTGACATGTTATCACATATACATATTCTAAATGGTGTAGCTTCAAGAGAGTGAAAAGTCTATCAGCCTCTGTCCCTGGGTGATTGTGCAGAGCCTCCGAAATTTGGCAGCTTCTGTAACTGCAGCATAGCCCAACCTACTTGGATGAATTAAAAAAAAAATTAACCTTACTTTCATTGTAGATGTGGAAACAGTAAAATAAAATAAGACATTTTAATATAGCTGGGAAGGATGGTAACCATATTATACAATCACAAGAAATTTGGAATAACTGTCATGTTTCACAAATTATTCATCAGAACATGGAACAAATGAACTTGTAGCCAAAAAGAAGTTAGAAAGCAAAGTAAAAAATGAAAATGTTATTAGACTGGTGCGAAAGTAATTGTGTTTTTTGCAACAATTTCATTGCAAAAACCTCAATTACTTTTGCGCCAACCTAATGGTAATTGTGTTAGTTGTTATTTGTTGTGTTTGGCATAGTATTATAAGTGAAAGAAGAACTCTGAAAATAATTGGTTAGTTTCAAAGCGAATAATAATAATGGAAATAGAAAAGTCCAGAAATTCTAGACCTTCCAGTGTTTAAAAGACTACTTCTGAGCTCCAAATATAAAAGATAAGAGTGATAAGACTTTAAGGAATGAATGCCCAATAAAACGTTTAATCTGATTTAAGTTTCCTCTGGGAAAAGTTTTCTTAAGAGTGTGGCACCTAATAAAAACTTTTAATTTAATAAAGTAACTCAGAACAAAAATCCCATTAAGTGTGTGGCCTTCCAAGAGACCGTACTAACAGCCTCATCTCAAGGCAGTCCCCATTAAATTGAGGGAGAGAAGGGAGGTTCACAAAGTGTCTCTCTCTCTCTCTGTCTCTCTCTCTATATATATATGTGATATATTATATATAATAAAACTAAAGATAAATATGTAATATATAAATATATAACAAATAATAAAATGAAAATATATAGCATAGTGTAATCCATAATATTTTTATAATTTATATAATATTGGAGAATATAACTTGAAAAGAACTGGAGCTATAGCTACTGATTTTTTTGCCATAAGAATATGTTTATTTTGGAAGTGATTTTAATTCTTTAGCCACAATGTCCCTATATTTTTACATTACCCCTTATTTTTCCATACTATTTATACATTAGATACAGAATTTGTTAGAAGTTAAAAGGGAAAAACACATTCTTTTGCTGAACAATAGCTCATTATATTTAACTTAAAAATTATTAGCTTGTTGAATATCAAAACTTGAAGCTGCTGGGAATCACATTTATTCTTAGGTTCCAAAATAGTTCTGAGTTCTCAGTAGGAAACCATCTTTTATAAACTATAACAAAACTCTCATCTCAAAATTAAATACTATAAATTGACACAACTATATCTATATTGAATGTCTTTATAATATCCAGAAACCTACTGGCTTTTTAGAAATACAATGAAAATAGATTTACATTCTGGCTTTATAAATCAATTTTTATTTTAGAAAATTTTAAACATATAGAGAATACTATATGAAACACCACATATTCAACATCTTTAATATCATTTAACCAATAATGTTCTAGTATATATCTCTAAAATTCACACCTAAAGAAAACACAGAAAACATGTTTATCACTTATTAACATTTAATAATAATTTCTACAATAAAGTATCACTGAGCCTATTTCTCCAATTTCTTCATAAACATTTTTTACAGATGTTTTTTCAAATCAGAATCCAAAGAGGCTCTGCACATGCCATATTCCTGGAGTGTTTCCTAAGTGTACTTGACTCTGTATGTTCACTGTATTTGTTGGAAAAAGTCACTGGTACTCCTGAGATCAGCAGGGATCAGCATCATCTGGGAACTTGTTAGAAATTAAGTTCTCAGGAAACACCCCAAACCTATTGAACCTGAAACTCTAGAGTTAAGAGCCCAGCAATATGCTGATGCATGCTAAAGTTTAAAACCTACTACTATAGTTCTACACACTCAAGATTTTATAGATTGTATTTTCATGATACCATCTAATATGTTGATCTATCTCCCGTATGTCATACAGATTGTGGTTCTCAGGTACAATTGTTTGGTAATGAAAATTCATATATAGTGGGTTTCTTTAACTTTCCATAGAATCATATACAAAGATTCATAATGTCCTGTTGTCTCCTTTTACAGTGATAAAAAGTTTGATCAGTAAGTCAAGTGTGCCAGCTTCATTCATCAATTCATTATTAAATTATCCATTAGCTTTTCACATAATAGTTTCAGCATCCATTTATGATCATTTCTCAAATCTGTGATTTCACTAGAATTTGCAAAATGGGACTATACTAATTCTTTCAATTTGTTATTTGTTAGCAGAAGCAATTTTTAAAAACATTTTGCACTGTTTGGTTACCCTGAGGAACAATTTGTACAAGAGAAGCAGGAAAACTGCCTGACTCTTTCCTTTGCCAGTTTCCAAAACTGGTTCCACAGAAACCTGCAAACTGAAGTTGTTTTTTCAAATCAACATAATTAATTCATGAATTTGCAATATATTTTATGTGTTTCTATCCACTGCAGTTATTATTACTTTTGATGCTCATATTATCTGAACTTTGGCTAGCAGGAAACTCTTTAGGCATCTGAATCCTTTTAACATGATGCAAATCATTTCTTTTTATAGCTTCCCTGTTTTCTGGCATGACAACATGCTCCAGGCTCATTTTGTACATATTGTTCACCACACCCTTTTTTTTTTTATTATTTCTCCAAGACTCTCTGGTTGCCTTAATTGGAAAAATCATAGAGTTCATCATTGCAAATTTAGGGCAACTCATCACATATATGTTTGTCTTTTTTTTTTCACAGTAGAAATCAAGAAAATAGATTTATAGATTTTAGAATTTATATCATAAATTCTTACTGATATTTTCCATTTAAAATTAGGAGTTCAGAGTATAAGTATCTGTTTAATTATACTGAAAGTCTTAGCTTCCAATGACATTAACACAAATATTTATTTGCTTTCTCTGGCAATATCTACAGAAAAGTTTCCAAATAAAATGATCAATATTGTTAGTAAAAATATAATCATAAGTCAGTTTAATGTTTCTTTGCATTTTCTTTTGTCCTTAGGATAATCCCTACTAAGGATACGTAGATAATTCATTTTAAAGTCATTTGAAATAATTATCTGTGAGTATAGGCCTCCAACGAGATACACAGTTCAGATGATATAATTTTTGTATTTTATTTTTAAGTACTGATGTTTCATTTTGATTTCATTTTGTTTATAATGTGTAAGACATTTATATACTACCAAAGTCAAATGTATAAGCATGGTAAACTGTCTTCCATTTCCATCCCCTGCACCCTGTCCCTACCACTTTTTATTTAGGTGAACTTTTTGCTAATTTATTTTAGTATTACCTTATTTTTTGTAAAGAAAAAATAAACAAATATGTATAGATATAGATATGCCCATCTTTCTTAAGTGCAAGTTAGCAAACTGTACAAATTGTTATGCATGTGCCCTTTCTCACTTTGTAACGTGTTTTGGATGTCATTCCATAATAGTATACAGAAGTCTTCCTTATTTCTTTTTACATTTGCACAGTATTTAATTGTTTGGCTGCTCAATTGTTTTCTTAAACAGTCCCCTGTTACTGGACATTCAGATTGTTTCCAGTTGTTTGCAGTGACAAAACTAGTGCTGTAAGCAATAATTATGTGTATACATATTTTTATATTTTTTGCTAGATGGCTTTGAGATAGATTCTTAGAAGTGGACTCAGAGTCAAAAGTAAATAAACGTGTTTGGCCATTGTGATGGTTAATATTAAGTGTCAACTTGATTGGATTGAAGGATGCAAAGTATTGTTTCTGGGTGTTGCCAGGATAGATTAACATTTGCATCAGTGGGCTGGGAGAGCAAGATTCACTCTTACTCAGGAAAACACACCCACAATGTGGGTGGGCACCATTCAATTGCCTGCCAGTGTGGCTAGAAAAAGCAGGAGAAGAAGGTGGAAGAAGCTGACTTGCTGAGTCTTCCAGCCTTCATCTTTCTTCTGTGCTGGATGCTTCCTACTCTTAAATGTGAGAGTCCAAGTTAGTTGGCTTTTGGACTCTTGAACTTATACTAGTGGCTTGCCAGGGGCTCTCGGACCTTCAGACACAGACTGGAGGCTGTATTGCTAGCTTCCCTACTTTTGAGATTCTGGGACTTGGACATAGCCACTACGGGCTTCCTTGCTGCTCAACTTGCAGACAGCCTATTATGGGACATCACCTTGTTACTGTGTGAGTCATGTCTCCTCATAAACTCCCTTTCATATATACATGTATCCTGTTAGTTCTGTCCCTCTAGATAACCCTAATAAAGCCATCCTACAAAAATGTGATGGACCCTCACCCAAAATTTGGTTTGGATATCAAGGCTGATGGTGCCACATATGCACCAAGAGGGTATAAAAAGTTCTATTACTCACACAATGAGTTTTTCTGAGAAGAACAGGGCAATGTCTCAAACATAAATAAGGATGCCTTGAGAAAGTGGAGAAAGGAGACCAGTTTGTTTTTTATGGTAGCTGGGAGTGGGGTTAGGGAAAGAACTACTGCATAGGGGTTAGCACTTGTGTGTTTTGAACTTCCTACTGACACCAAAGGTAAGAGCATCGAGGCTTCCTCATCAGCTTGCCCAGATGTGTGTGGAAGGGCAAGTGGGAGTTGTTGGGCTTAAAAGTTGTCTGCTGTCCATTACAAAAACTTGAGTCAGACCCTTTTTGTTAGATCTTGACAAATTCTACTCCAAAGTGGTTGTACCCTTTTGTAGTGCCGGATTGCCTATTTTTTCCATAGCTTTGTCCCCAAAAAACAAAACAAACAAACTAACAAACAAACTATGTGGTCAAGCTTTTGAATTGTTAATAATCTGATAAGTGAGAAATGGAATGACCATGTAATTTTAATGTTAATGTATTCTGGTAGCTTGTATACATTTTTATATGTTTAAGCCGTGGCTAATATGCCCTTATCTTATGCCTATTTTCTGTAAGGCTATTACTGTTTTCTTCTCTTTTTTTACAAGCTGTTTGTATATTATTGACACTGTTTTTCTGTTATATAACTTACATAATTTTTTTAATTTATTTTTTTGCTGATGGTGCTTTCTTTCTGATGAAAGATTTTTTAATTAAATGTTATCAAACTTACTAGTATTTTCTCTTACAGAATCTGAATTTTGGTCTCTACTAAGAAAATAACTCTTCTAAATTTGCATCTGAGGTTATTATATATTTTTATGTACTTTATTCATCCATTAGGAATTCTATATTGTCTCTATTAATCTCCTCCTAGACATATCTATGCATTTTAACACTGTTTAAATAATAACACATAAAACTAAAAGTGGAGTTATCCAGTGTCCATAATAAAATCTACCAATTACTTTGGTAAAATGGGTCTAGAAATCAGGTGGAGCTCAGCAATAATAAGAAAACTGATTAATCGTGCCCATCTGACTCATTTTACGTTAAACCTAATGGTTTATTTAACTGACAGCTAGTGTCTCCTTTTAGGATGATTTGAACAGTAATTTAGTGTAATTTGAGCTTGAGAAGGTACTGATGATATAACAGAAAGATGTGGGTTCATCAATTGGTAGCTATATTTAGGATGATTTTATGGTATTCCAAAATTCTGTACTTTTGGGGGATTTTGTTGCCTGAAGTGAATGTGGTATAAAGAAGCTGTCATTAAATCTTAGTGATTCAAGGAAACCCAATCTTATATAACTTGCCAAGGAATACATAGCCAAATAGTATTCAATCTCTGAGGAAAAACAGCTGTGTTTTGACATTTTGCATAAACTTTGAAAGTAAAACAAAAAATATTTGCTTAAACTGTCCTTTCAGATGCTCAGAGTACTTATTGTTTCAAAAGTTTTTTTCTAAAACATGATGCTGTGTGTTCTTTTGCTTTAAAGCAGGCATTTGGTAATTTTGACATGGTATTATAAAAATTTACTTTTGAGTCACCTAGCTTCAGAAATCTCCTAAACAATTTACATGTGAAAAACACACTTACACAAGTGAAGTGAGTTACATTACAACAAACCTTTTCTACTAGCATTCCCTTTTAAGAGCAAGAAAAAAAATGAAGTTTGGCAACATGATTTAACAGCTGCATATAGTATTTATGCTAAAGAAATCACATAGCAGATTTTCAGTTACCCACAGAAGGAAGTCCAAGGAGAGCACACAATTAAGCTACACAGATAATCATCTCAACCATGAGTTTCAACCATCTGAGCTGTCAGTAATTAGCCAATTTTTATTTCACTACTACCCTGGCTATTCTCCCCAGGAACATTACAAGAGATATTCAATAATGACGAACAACAGTGAATTATTAGTAACATGAAATATTCCATATTCTGAATGAATATTGTATATTAATTCTTAAATGAGAAACATGATATATCAATGAACAACAAGAGATAGAAATTGTTGATAGGACAAATTTAATATAAACACTTTGCTTGAAGGATAGAAAGGAGCTTATGTGGGATGGAGCAGCGTACTCAAAAGGACAAATAGCTAAACATTCTCATAATTTCTTCCACAATAAAATAATGCAATCTTTCCATGAACACACTTTATTTTCTATGTTTCCATAGCCTAAACGCATTATTTGAAACGGCCATTGATGTATGAAGACTCGGAAGTAATCATGTGACTATTATAATTTATAGCAAATGTTGAATGGACAGTTTTAGAACACTTTGTAGTGTTTTTGTGATCCATAATATATGGCTATCTTCAAAGTTAGCAATTACTTCTTGCACTTTTTTTCTGCTTGTGAAGACTTCAAATTGATCCTTTTTCTAATATTTAGTTCATCTCCCAAATAATTACTTAACTTTTATCAGCAGCATCTTTTTTGTCTTAATTGGTTCATGATACTATGTCAAAAAGTGATTTAAAAATCTTTCAGTGTCAGAAATGTAATAAGGAGGGGTGGAAATTATGCTAAACTGTATTTTACTACAAAGGTCATAGTTTCACTTCCAAAATACCATTGCTGCTCTGCTGCAGTTAATTATTTCCATTCAAAAATGTAAGGCCAAGCTTTTGATTTGTGTCAAGCTTTTGAATTGTTAATAATCTGACAAGTGAGAAATGGAATCACCATGCAATTTTAATGTTAATGTATTTTGTGAGGTTGTATACATTTTCATATGTTTAAGCTGTGGCTAATATGCTCTTATGCCTATTTTCCTATAAGGCTATTGCTGTTTTCTTCTTTTTTTACAAGCTCTTTGTATATTATTGATATTAACTATTTTTCTATTATATAACTAACATGATTCTTAAATTTTTTTTGCTGATGGTGTTTTCTTTCTGACAAAAGACTTCTTAAATGTTATCAAACTTATTAATATTTTCTCTTACAGAATCTGAATTTTAAGAAGAAAATATTCATTTCTCACAGGTAATAGGTTAAATCATCCTTGCCTTCTTCTACTACTGGTATTGTGTTTCACTTAACTTTTCAATCTTTTCAACCTCTGATCTGCTTGAAACACATCAAGGTGTATGGTGTGAGGAACAGATCAAATTTTGACTTTTGTGTTTTGCTGCTGTGTAGTTCCAACATCACTAATTTAAAAAGCCCATCCTTTCTCCTAATTGTTGTGAGATGTCATATTTGTCATATATAACTTTTTTTTATTTCTTGACTGTTTTTTTCTCTTCCACTGATCCACGTAACTATGTATATGCAAATACTCCACTGATTTAATAAAAGAAACATGATAATATATTTTGACATTTGGTAGGATTTACCCTCCTATCAACATTGCTATTTTTCAAGGTCCTCCTAAGTATTCTTACTTGTTGGTTTTATCAAATGAATCCTAAAACCTAGGCTCATAAAAATGCTTGATGGCATTTTTATTGGAATAGTCTCACATTTAGGTAACTCAAGGAAAATTGACATAATAATGTTGATTCTTTATTTTCAAGACCACAGTATTCTACTAATTTTGAAAACATTTGTACCACTAAAGATATCAGAAACTTCCTTTGCAAAAATTATAACTGAGACAATTTTTACAGTGAAAGAGATATGACATAACTGACTCCACCTAGCTTCGAACCTTAAAGTTGTCCTTCATTCTTGGGAGTAGGCCAAACTATCTTTGGGAGAAACTTAGTTTATGGTTTAGAAACAAAGACAATAATAGCCCTTTCCCAAAACAAATTCCCTTCCTGCCTGGGGACTACACTGCCTTTGCAAGACTAACAGATTAGTCACAAAATTAGAAATTATGGTTTAGGAATCATGTAGCTGGAGGCTGCAAGATTCTTAACCTCCCCAAATTGCTCCTGGAGATAACATCACTATTGTGAAATGTAAGATCACTGCTTGACATATTTTGCAGACTTTGCATTCGATGTACCAGCAGGCACTATCCAGATTAATCAACTAGCTTGTCTGGTCTTGTGGCCCCTCATCCAGCAACTGACTCAGGTCAAGAGGACAGCTTTAACTCCCTAAGATTTCATCTCCAACCTGACCAGTCAGAACTCCTGTCAAACTATCTTCAAAAATTCCAGTCCCTGAATTCTCAGGGAGACTGATTTGAGTAATAATAAAACTTTGGTTTCCTACACAGCTCGCTCTGTGTGAATTACTCTTTCTTTCTTGCAGCTCCCCTGTCTTAATAAATCAGCTCCGTCTAGACAGTGGGCAAGGTGAATCTGTTGGGTGGTTACAAGACTATTTAAGTCCTCACTTTATGTCTTTGATAGGTTCATGGAAACAGCTACATTAAATGAAACAACGTATATAACAAAACCATTTTTTTTCTCTTCATCATTATGTTATTCAAGGACCTGCTGTATGTTGCTTCACTTAATGTTGCAGTTTCCAAGAACCTATCCATGATATTGACAACATACATTACATACGAAGCATGGAGTTTAACATGAAGAGTGTGTGTTCTACATGAGGGAAGGAGAAAGAACCACACATTTGGTAACAACAAGACGGCAATCCTGCATGAACTTCTGTGGCCACCTACATTCCGTTTTCCTCTATTTCTGGGAACACAGGGGAATTTTTTTTCCATCTCATGCAGTTTAGTGGGGTTATCTGCTACGACGACATGAGCATGTATTTTGACTAATACATAAGAACTGTATATTTTCTTTTTTATAACTCTGGTGCCCTGTACATTGTATAGACAATTAGAAAATATGTATTAAAAGAATAAAAGTAATCATATTAGAAATTCCAGCAGTATTATCCCATGGACTCACATAATTTTTCCATTGTAAATACAGTTAAATATTCAAAGTTGTATTATATATTAGTTTTTCATTAACCTACAATTTTCTTAACACTTCTAAATTTGAATCTGAGATTATTATACATTTTTCTGTACTTTATTCATCCATTAGGAATTCTATATTGTCTCTATTAATCTCTTCCTAGTCATATCTATGCATTTTAACACTGTTTAAATAAAATAACACATAAAACTAAAAGTGGAGTTGTCCAGTCTTCATAATAAAATCTACCAATTACTTTGGTAAAATGGGTCTAGAAATCAGGTAGAGCTCAGCAATAATAAGAAAACTGATTAATCGTGCCCATCTGACTCATTTTACGTTAAACCTAATGGTTTATTTAACTGACAGCTAGTGTCTCCTTTTAGGATGATTTGAACAGTAATTTAGTGTAATTTGAGCTTGAGAAGGTACTGATGATATAACCGAAAGATCTGCGTTCATCAATTGGTAGCTATATTTAAGGAAAGATGATTTCATGGCATTCCAAAATTCTGTACTTTTGGGGGATTTTGTTGCCTAAAGTGAATGTGGTATAAAGAAGTTGTCATTAAATCCTAATGATTCAAGGAAACCCAATCTTATATAACTTGCCAAGGAATACATAGCCAAATAGTATTCAATCTCTGAGGAAAAACAGCTGTGTTTTGATGTTTTGCATAAATTTTCAAAGTAAAAAAATTTGCTTAAACTGTCCTTTTAGGTGCTCAGAGTACTTATTGTTTCAAAAGTTTTTTTTCTAAAACATGATGCAGTATGTTCTTTTGCTTTAAAGCAGGCATTTGGTAATTTTGTTAAGGTATTATAAAAATCTACTTTTGAGTCACCTAGCTTCAGAAATCTCCTAAACAATTTACATCTGAAAAACACACTTACACAAGTGAAGTGAGTTACATTACAACAAACCTTTTCTACTAGCATTCCCTTTTAAGAGCAAGAAAAAAAATGAAGTTTGGCAACATGATTTAACAGCTGCATATAGTATTTATGCTAAAGAAATCACATAGCAGATTTTCAGTTACCCACAGAAGGAGGTCCAAGGAGAGCACACAATTAAGCTACACAGATAATCATCTCAACCATGAGTTTCAACCATCTGAGCTGTCAGTAATTAGCCAATTTTTATTTCACTACTACCCTGGCTATTCTCCCCAGGAACATTACAAGAGATATTCAATCATGAGGAACAATAATAACACGAAATATTCCATATACTGAATGAATACTGCATATTAATTCTTCTTAAATGAGAAACATGATATATCAATGAACAACAAGAGATAGAAATTTTTGATAGGACAAAGTTAATATAAACATTTTGCTTGAAGGATAGAAAGGAGCTTATGTGAGACGGAGCAGCATACTCAAAGGACAAATAGCTAAACATTCCCGTAATTTCTTCCACAATAAAATAATGCAATCTTTTCATAAACACACTTTATTTTCTATGTTTCTAAAGCCTAAAAGCATTATTTGAAACGGCCATTGACATATGAAGACTCGGAAGTAATCATGTGACTATTATAATTTATAGCAAATGTTGAATGGACAGTTTTAAAAAATTTTGTAGTGTTTTTGTGATCCATAATATATGGCTATCTTCAAAGTTAGCAATACTTCTTGCAGTTTTTTTCTGCTTGTGAAGACTTCAAATTGATTCTTTTTCTAATATTTAGTTCATCCCCCAAATAATTACTTAACTTTTATCAGCAGCATCTCTTTATCTTAATTGGTTCATGATACTATGCCGAAAAGTGATTTAAAAATCTTTCAGTGTCAGAAATGTAACAAGGAGTGGTGGAAATTATGCTAAACTGTATTTTACTACAAAGATCATGGTTTCATTTCCAAAGTGCCACTTCTGCTCTGCTGCAGTTAATTATTTCCATTCAAAAATGTAAGGGCAGGATTACCACATATTCCGTTATTTCTAAAAGAAGCCACTAATAGCATGATTTTAATGGTTACGAAGATTAATATTTTTATCATCTTTGCGTTCTTTATACTTAAAGAGCAAAATTGCATAGTACAGATAATCTATCCCTTAAATGTGTAATTAAACTTTTCGTGTGGACACATAGTTTCACACTTTGGTTCAATAACTAATTACATATTTAAACTTGCCCTTTCTCATCGTTAATGCCACATGCTGACCACAAAGACAATACCCGTTTACTAAGAAAATTTTGTTTGACACAGTAATACCATTTACCTTGCTTTGAAATACAATTTCTCATTGTTCTGCTATACTCTTTTTTTTTTGCATCGTACCCACAAAACTGGAAACATTTCTCAACGGTTTCCATTAAAAACAGAAAAAGAAATAATTAGCTCATATTTATATGAAATAGATAATTCATAAATTCTATAAGACACTCAGAACAAACACTATGATGCTAGCAGAAGAAGCAAGCATAAAATAAGTACAATCTCTCAAGGATATATTGATTCTCTCACAGCTTAGCTTGCACACAGGCTAATGATGACAATATTGTGGCATGAAACCTAAGAGTGTATGTGTGTGTGGGGGTGTACGTGCATGTTAGAGAGACAGAGCCTGCTTTTTAAATCTACAACAGATAAGTCCAAAAAGTTTACCTTTTACATGCACACACACACTTATCACACGCTTATCATCTTAGGACCTTTTAATATCTATTTATAAACATGTCTCAGGAGAATGTTAAACAGTAAATTGATTTTCATTTAGGCCTTTTTTTTCTAACCACATGCTATAGAAGTATGTGTTAGTGAAATATTTAGGAGAAAATATAACAAATTTTATTTGAATACTTGCTTTAGAAAACCAGCTGCATATGCTATAGAGTAGGAAGAGATTGCCTAGGTAAACTTCTGTAGTTCAAATCTTGAAGAAAACTAAAGGTTAAACACTGAGGAGACATTTCAAGTCTAGTGATTCCCTGAGTTCTCTTTAAAATACTTGCAACATGCACACCATAAATATGCTAGAGAATGTATTTTAAGATATTAAGAAGACATAGGAATGTTAATTTAAAACCCCATGGAACAGAAATAGCCATAATGTCCTGCCCTACCTCACCCACATGGAGTAAATAGTAGGGGTTGATGCTACTGGCTAACTGAATGCTAAGACTGGAAAAAAGCAAAAGAGTCTGAAAAGTAAAATATCAAGTGTTAATTTCAACCCAAATCCTGCCACACTTTTTACGAGACAACATCAGACTCATTGTATGAGACATATTCACATGTTTGATGCTCGTTGTTAAGCACATACATATTAAGGATTGTTATACTTTCTTGGAGAATTGATTCTTTTATCATTATGTAATGCCCTTCTTTAGTTTCGATATTTTTCCTTACTCTCAAATCCGCTTTGTCTGAAATTAATATAGTTACTGCAGCTTTCTTCTTGTTAGTGTTGTTAGCATGGCATATGTTTCTCCATCACTTTACTTTTATGCATCATAATTTTCTGCTTCTTTGCATATTTAATAATTTTTTACTGAATGGTAGATATCAGTGAATATTATGGTGTTGAGTGTCTAAATTTGTTTTCCTACATTAGCTAGATTTGAATTATGTTTAGACAGGCAGTTAAGTTACTTACAGATCAGTTTAATCCTTCTCTACTGAAAAATCTATCATACAAAGAGTTTTTTCAACCTGATTGGCCAGGATTTAAATGTTTCCCAACTCTGTGTAATTTCTGGGAATTCTTCAAGTCAGGACTTTCCAGTTATGTCTTGCCTCATGGAATTTCATCTTATGCACGCACAGCTTTTTATTGAGCAAAAAATTCAAAGGCTTTTCTATGCAGATTTGTGAAGCTCTTCCACTGTGCTATTCCTTCAACTCTGGTACTCTACACCACAAATTCCAAAGTTTAGCCATCTAAACTTTCCAAAATTTCAATTCTGGTCTTCTCAATCCAGGGAGATGACTGGTATTTTCCTGAGTTTACCTTTCCTATTTCTCTGTCTGGGGTATTGTGGTGCTTACCTTCTTTTATCCCTTCACTGATTACGGTTCTATGCTACATGTTTGCCAACGTCTGCAGACAGTATTTTATCTGTATTTTCCAGTTTTGTAATTTTTTCTGAAAGGAGGGCAAGTCCACTACCAGTTATTCTATTAAAGTAGGAAAGATTTCATCTTTCATTTTTAATATACCAAATTTACAATATTTTGTAATAAAATAATCACTTATGATAGTCCATGTTTTTATTTATTACTATTTGCTTTTCTTAGTTGTATTTAACTATAAAATAGACTTCCTGGAACCACCGCCCCCAACTCCTGCATCCATGTGGATTTCCCTCTGATCCTCTATGAGATGTGAGCCTCGGAAGCAGACAATAGCACCTCCTGCTCCAGCAAGAAACTCCCAGGCTCAAGGTGTGGCTTCCATTAAGGAGCCCAGGCTGGGGCCACAACTCTGAATAACCTCTGTTGGCACATAACCTTCAGCTGTGAGTGGTTCAGTCCTGTGATATTGGTTGGGTGTTGGTTTGTGTGTGGACAAGAGGTGGTTGGTGGCTGGTGGAGGCTAATGGCAGAGTTAGCCCCCTACTCTCCCCAGCCACCCCTGCAAGAAGCATGGCAGGGCA
Source organism: Homo sapiens (assembly GCF_000001405.40). Lineage (NCBI taxonomy): Eukaryota > Metazoa > Chordata > Mammalia > Primates > Hominidae > Homo > Homo sapiens. The sequence continues at coordinate 5,887,819 of NC_000024.10, forward strand.
TATACCAGTCAGGAATGCCCAGTACCTGGTTCCTTGCCTGGTCTGCTTTCCTCCACGTTTGCCTGGGGCCTAACCCTGCTAGAAGCTACAGCACTTTATAAGCAAGGTTTGCCTTCTTCCAGCTCCTAGGCTGTGGGTGCTGTATACAATTAGGAACTTCCTTTCCTTCACTTCCCTTTTAACCCCTAGTCAGAGCATTTCAGCTGTTGTTTGCTACTTAATTCCTCCCATGTTGGACAGAGGCTGGGGGCAGTGCCAGCCTGATTCTTCCCACCTACCTGCCATCTGTTCCCACCTTCAGATGGATGGACAGTTTGCTGGCTGTTGATAGGAGTGGGGACTGGACAGGGTCTTCACCCTCTACCAAGGGCTGGGCTGATCCCCCTACTACAACTAGTTGTTGCCCCCCCACCCCCAGTTGAGGAGTTGACAGGGTGCAGGCTGGGGTCAGGACAGGCTGTGGATGCTTGTGTCTATAGGGAGTTACTCCAACCCACCTATTCTGTCTAATCCCCCATGCCTTTGCACCAAGGCCTCTACCCTTCCAATTGGGAGGGAACTATTCACCACCCTGTGGTAAGGGACAACATCCTAAGGCTGGTGCCAATAGTTATGAGTAGCCTACCACCCCCTTCCCCTACAGTAACCTCCACCCCTTCAGGATGAGTCAAGGGAAAGTACTGGAGCCGCTGGGTATGAAAAGAAAGGAGGGAAAAATCATAAAAGGAATATGAAGGTTTGTAAATAGTCCACGATGATGTCATGGCAGAGTCTGATTTCTATATAGAGGTAACTTAAAAAAAAATACTGTGCAAGATCTGTTCTTCTAGAGTGTGGGAAATGGCTTGCGGAGGGTGGCCCCCAGCCTAGAAAGACTATTGTGCTATTTGTTCAATTTCAATAAAATGATTTATAGATCCTGAAAATAAATAAATGAATAAAATAGACTTCTTATGTCATTTTTGACTTGATTTTTGTCAAGATCTTTTATGTATACATATAAAGTATATATGTATAAATATGAATATATATGTGAGTGTATTTGTGTATGTGTGTGTATATATATATATATACACAAATATACATACATATCTAAAAATTGTGTGAAATTTTTATCCCACTAAAGACACCACATTTATTTTACCAACATTTCAATGAAAGTATGTATCAAGCTGGGCTCAGTGACTCATGCCTGTAATCCCAGCACTTTGGGAGGCCGAGGTGGGTGGATCACGAGGTCAGGAGTTCAATACCAACCTAGCCAAGATGGTGAAATCCCGTCTCTACTAAGAATACAAAAAAATTAGCCGGGCGTGGTGGCAGGCACCTGCAATCCCAGCTATTCAGGAGGCTGAAGCAGAGAATTGCTTGAAACCAAGATGCAGAGGTTGCAGTGAGCCAAGATCATGCCACTGCATTCCAGCCTGGGCGACAGAGTGAGACTTGGTCAAAAAAAAAAAAAAAAAAGAGAGAGAAAGTATGCATCAGATTCAAAAATGGGAGCTTGGATTGCCTCATGTACTGGTTGGGGGCTGGCTGCTGAGGTATTTGGCTCTTATAATTTATAATGAACATATGTGTACAGGTGTTTGTATGGACATATGTTGTCATTTCTATTGAATGCCTGAAAGTGGAATTGCTGGAATCAAGGATCCTACCATAATTACTCAGCATATATTTTTATAGAGTCTTCTGGTGGATTTGAGCAAGATGGCCGAGTAGACTCAGCCAGGTGGAATAGATGCCACAGAGGGCTGGGGATGACTGGCGCACTCCTAACAGATATTCAGAGGGGAAGGCACTGACAGTGGATGGAGGAAAGACACAGAAGCTAGCCTGAAGTGGGAGGAAGCTGGGAATCCTGCATAGTGCTACCAAAGACAGGGACTCATTCTGGGCTCCCAGTGACTCTGGGGCAGCCAATGACTTGAACTGCCAAGGAGCAGCCCACTCTCCCCATAGACTTTTGGAATCCTGGCAGGAAGAGACCCTTCTGCAACTATAGACACTTGAGTTGGCAGAGAAAGCTGCTTAGAGAAATGGTAGGGGCAGAACTTCAGCCAGTGCAGAGCCCACAGGGTTTTGTGTGGGAGCATCTGTAGTGGAGCATGGCCAGGGATGTCCATCCCTCACAGGCTCAACTTGTTTCCATAGAAGACTTTAGCACTGGGAGAGCTGTCAAACCTAAATTCTGTCGAGCAGTCTTGCCCATTAGACAGAACGAGTCTGGCCTGAGCATCCCTTGTTATACTGGCTGCTACTGAGGCCCCAGCTTGGTAATGCCTGCTTGCAGGGCAGCCTTGGGTGCCCAGGGTTTCTGCATCATAGCTTCTGCACTGGTGGATTATGCCTGGCTGGCAGAGATCTCCAGTGGGAGAGCCTCACAGCCATGCACCAGCCCGCCGGATCACTCCCCATAGTACAGCTTTCTCCAGGCCCACCGCAATCCTCCACATCCCTTTGCCAGTGTGTGCATGCATAGGGTTTACCTTCCCTGTCCCACCAGCACGCATGTGAGTGTGTACCCTGCCCTAGCTCTGCTGCTACCTGAAGTGCACCCCATTCCCCTGTCCCACCATTGCATCAAGACCTTGGCGGGCACAGAGCATCCCAGGCCTGCTCCAGCCAACAAGCTGCCATTGTGGCAACACTGTGCCTGAGTGAAACTAGGCACCAAGAGCAGTGGGCCCTTCTCCACCCTGAGCAATCACAGAAGGTGCACACAGAACTGCGTCTGCAAGTGCCCCAACACCCTGTTAACATCATCTCCAGTGTGACCATTCACACAGTAGACAATGGGAGTTCCTTGCCATCCCAGAGCCATGCTGCCTTTGCTGCTGCTGTGAATGCCCATGGGGAGACAAATGCCCTTGAACCCATTAGCACCCTGCTGCAGATCATGATTATGCATTTTGCTGCCCTGCCACTACTGCTGGCACATATGAACAAGAGTGAATTTTACTGCCACCACCCTATGAAATGCTTTGGCTGGCATCACCCATCAGCGTGTAGTGACCAGTGGTCCAGAAGCACATTGGCTCCCCCTAGTGCAGCAGGCTTCTAAACTCCAGGAGCCAGAGAAATAAATCAGGGCATGATACAAGTACCCAAGGTTTAGAACACATAAGCCAAGAGTTGGGAGCTGAGTTTTGGCCCCCTAAAGTCTTCCAGAAATGTGACCAGCAGACTGAATCCATTTTATACAATTAAACCCTCAAAGACATCAAAAAAGATAAAAGAAAAAAAATCGGAAGAATAGCAACTTCAAAGATTAAAGGAGCATCAACCCACAAAGATGAGAAAGAACCAGCACAAGAACTCTGACAACTTAAAAAGTCAGACTGCCTTCTTTCCTATAAACAACTGCATTAATCCTCCAGCAAGGGTTCTGAACTGAGCTGAGATAGCTGAAATGACAGAAATAGAATTCAAAATGTAGATAGAAATGGAGATAACAATGTGCAGCAGTATGTTAAAACACAATACAAAGAAGCTAAGAATCACAATAAAACAATACAAGAGCGGACAGACAAAATACGCAGTATAGAAAAGAATGCAACCACCCTGATAGTGTTGAAAACATTCTACATGAATTTCATAATGCAGTTGCAAATTTTAACAGCAGAATAGACCAAGCTGAGGAGGAGAGAATCTCAGAGCTTAAAGACAGGCTTTCTGAAATAAGACACTCAGACAAGAATGGAGGAAAAAAATGAAATGGAACAAACAAAACCTCTGACAAATATAGGATTATGTAAAGAGATCAAATGTACTACTCATTGGTGCCCCTGAAAGAGATTGAGAGAATGGAAGCAACTTGGAAAACATATTTCAAGATGTCATCCATGAGAACTTCCCCAGCCTGGCTAGAGAGGCTGACATTCAAATTCAGTAAAGGCAGAGAATGCCAGTAAGGTACTTCATTAGAAGTTCATTCCCAACACACATAATCTCCAGATTCCCCAAAGTCAAAATGAAAGAAAAAATGTTAAATCTAGCTAGAAAGTTCAGTTCACCTACAAAGAGAAGTCCATCAGACTAATGACACAACTCTCAGTAGAAACTCTACAAGCCCAAAGAAATTAAGGGGAAAAAATTCAACATTCCTAAATAAAAGACATTCTAATCAATAATTTTATATCTGGCCAAACTAAGCTTCATAAGCAAAGGAGAAATAAGATCCTTTTCAGAAAAGCAAATGCTGAGGGAATTCTTTACCATGAGACCTGCCTTACAAGAGCTCCTGAAAGAAGTAACAACTATGGAAAGGAGAAATCACTACAGTCACTACAAAAACACACTTAAATACATAGAACACTAACAGTATAAAGCAACCACACAAACAAGTCTGCATAATAACCAGCTAACATCTTAATGACAGGATCAAATCCACAAATATCAATGCTAACCTTGAATGTAAATAGACTAAATGCCCAAATTAAATAGCACAGAGTGGTAAACTGGATAAAGCACCAAGATCCAATGGTATGTGGTCTTCAAGAGACCCATCTCACACCCTTAGGTTCAAAACAAAGAGGTGGGAAAAACTAGCAAGCAAATGAAGAACCAAAAAGCAGGGGTAGGCATCTTAACATCTGAAAAAATAATCTAAACTCAAAAAGATAAAAAAAGACACAGGAGAGCATTACATAATAGTAAAGTGTTTAGTTCAACAAGAAGACTTAACTATTTTAAATATATAAGCACCCAACATAGGAGTACCTAGATTCATAAAAAAAGTTCTTAGCAACCTACAAAGGGACAGACTGCCACACAATAATAGTGGGAGACTTTAACAGCCCACTGATAATATTAGACAGATCATTGAGACAGAAAATTAACAAAGATATTCAGGACCTGAACTCAGCATGGGATCAAATGAACCTGACAGAACTTCCATCCAAAAACAATAGAATATACATTCTTCTCATCTGCACATCATATGTACTCTAAAATCGACTACACGATTGGACATAAAATAATCCTCAGCAAATGCAAAAGAATCAAAATCACACCAAACCCACTCTCAGACCACAGTGCAATAAAAATAGAATTCAAGACTAAGAAAATCACTAAAAACTATACAATGACATGAAAATTAAACAACCTGCTCCTGAATGATTTTGGAGTAAAGAAATTAAAGCAGAAATCAAGAAGTTCTATGAAATTAATGAGAACAAAGATTCAACATAATAGAATATCTAGGACAAAGCTAAGACAGTATTAAGAGGGAAATATATAGCACTAAGTGCTCACATCAAAATTTATAAAGATCTCAATTTAAAAACCTAACATCACAACTAAAAGAACTGGAAAACAAACAGCAAAGAAACCCCAAAGCTAGCAGAAGACAAAAAATAACCAAAATAAAATCTGAAAGACATTGAGATACAAAAACGATTCAAAAAATCAACAAATGCAGGCAGGAGTTTAAAAAAAATAATAAAAAAATAGATAGACCTCTAGATAAACTAAAAGAAGAAAAGAGAGAAGATCCAAAAAAAAAACAGAACTAGAAAATACAAAGGGGATATTACCACTAACCCCACAGAAATACAAATAACCATCAGATAATATTATGAACACCTCTATGTACACAAACTAAAAAATCTAGAATACATAAATAAATTCCTGATTACATGTATTCTCCCAAGTCTGAAGCAGAAAGAAATTAAAGCCCTGAACAGAGCAATGATGAACACTGAAATTGAACCAGCAATAGTCTACCAACCAAAACAACCCAGTACCAGTTAGATTCACAGAAGAATTCTACCAAATGTACAAAGAAGAGCTGGTACTATTCTCACTGAAACTATTAAAAAAAATCTAAGGAGGAGGAATTCCTCTCTAACTCATTCTTTGAGGCCAGCATTATCCTAATACCAAAACCTGGCAGAGACATAACAACAACAACAACAACAAAAAACACTTCAGGTCAATATCCTTGATGAACATTGATACAAATATCCTCAATGAGAGTACTGGCAAACTGAATCTAGCAGCACATCAAAAAGCTTATCCACCATGATCAAGCAGGCTTTGTATCTGGGATGCAAGGTTAGTTTAACATACGCAAATCAATAATGTGATTTGTCACTTAAACAGAACTAAAGACAAAAACTCAACAGGTGCAGAAATGCTTCTGATAAAATTCAATACCTCTTCATGTTAAAAACTCTCAATGAGTTAGGATTTGAAGAAACAAACCTCAAAATAATAAAAATCATCTATGAAAAACCCACAGCCAACATAATACTTAATAGGGAAAAGCTGAAAGCATTCCCTTTAAAAACTGGCACAAAACAAGGATGACCTCTCACTAATCCTATTCATCATAGTATTGGAAGTCCTGGCCAGTGTAACCAGGCAAGAGAAAGAAATAAAGGGCATGCAAATAAAAAGAGAGAAAGTCAAACTATCCCTGTTTTTCAGGTGACATGATTAGATATCTAGAAAACCCCATGGTCTCAGTCCCAAAGCGTATTAAGCTGATAAGAGAAACTTCAGCAAAGTCTCAGGGTACAAAATCAATGCACAAAAATTACTAGCATTCCTATACACCAACAAGAGTCAAGCCGAGAGCCAAATCAGAAACGCAATTCAATTCACAATTGCCACAGAAAAATAAAATAGCAAGGAATACAGAAAACCAAGGAGATGAAAGAACTCTACAAAGAGAACTACAAAACACGTGTCAAAGAACTCAGAGATAACACAAACAAATGGAAAAACATTCCATTCTCATGTATAGAAAAAATCAGTATCATTAAAATGTTCATACAGCCCAAACAATTTATAGGTTTAATTTTATTCCTATTAAACTGTCAATGAAATTTTTCACAGAACTAGAAAAAATGATTTTAAAATTTATATGAAACTAGAAAACATTCTGAGTAGCCGAGGAAATCCTAAACAAAAAGAACAAAGCTGAAGGCATCACACTACTTGACTTCAAACTGTACTACAGGGCTACAACAACCAAAATAGCATGGGATGGGTACGAAAACAGACATAGAGCAATGGGACAGAATAGAGAGCCCAAAATTAAGGCCACACATCTACAACTATCTCATCTTCTAGAAAGCTCATGAAACCAAGCAATGGGTAAAACACTCCCTATTCAATAATTGGAATAACTGGCTAGCTAGTTATATGCGGAAGAGTGAAACTGGATCCCATTCTTATGCTATATACAAAAATTAACTAAAGATGGATTGAAGACTTAAATGTAAAACTTAAAACTATAACAACCCTGGAAGACAACCTAAGCAATACCATTCTGGATACAGAAATGGGCAAAGATTTTATGATAACGATGTCAAAAGCAATTGCAACAAAAGCAAAAACTGACAAATGGTATGTAATTAAACTAAAGAGCTTCTGCACAGCCAAAGAAACTATCCACAGAGTAAACAGACATCCTACAGAATGGGACAAAATTATTTCAAACTATGCATCTGACATTCAGCATCTATAAGAAACAAACAAATTTGCAATAGAAAAACAAACAATGCCATTAAAAAGTGGTCAAAGGACATGAAGAAACACTTTTCAAAACAAGACAAACATGTTGCCAACAAGCATGTGAAACAAAGCTCATCACTGATTATTAGAGAAATTCAAATCAAAACCACAATGAGACATTATCTCACACCTGTCAGAGTGGCTATTATTAAAAGTCAAAAAATAACAGATGCAGGTAAAGTTGCAAAGAAAAAGGAATGGTTATACACATTGGCCATTCCTGAAAGACCTAACAACAGAACTAACAGTTGACCCAGCAATTCCATTACTGAGTATATACCCAAAAGAATATAAATCATTCTGTTATAAAGTCATATTCACATGTATGTTTATTGCAGAACTATTCACAGTAGCAATGACATGGAATGAACCTAAATCCACATCAATGGTAGACTAGACTGGATAAAGAGCATGGGGTACATATACACCTTCGAGTACTATGTAGCCACAAAAAAGAATGAGATTATGTCCTTTGCAGAAACATGGATGGAGCTGGAGGCTATTATCCTTAGAAGACTAATGGAGGAATAGAAAGCCAAATACCATGTGTTCTCACCTATAAGTGGGTGCTAAATGATGAGAACACATGGACTCATAGAGGGGAACAACAGCCACTGGGGCCTACTGGAGGGTTGAGGGTGAAGGTGGGAGAAGATCAGGAAAAATAACTAATGGGTACCTGGCTTAATACCTGGGTGATGAAATAATATGTACAACAAACTCCCATGACATGAGCTCACCTATATAACAAAACTGCACACATATCCCTGAACTTAAAATAAAAGTTAAAAAAAATGATAATGAAGTCCCAATGAACATATGCTCTGTAATATATTTTGCCAAGTCTAGCAGAGTTTCAGATTCAATAGTCAGATAAGATAGCTTTTGAAGTAATGTATTGAAAAATAGAAACAAAATAGAAAATCCTGAAATAATATTCACAACCTTAAGAAGAAAAAAATCATATTTAAAAATAAAAAACTCAAACTTTTTACCATAACAGTTGTACACCTTAATAGAAACCATGGTTTCTTAATTGTTTGGTGCACGGGTATATTTCTTATAAATATTTGGTTCCTTGATATTTTCTTAGGAAGTCTTATCAAACCATATGCATTTGTAAATAATTCAGAATTGCATTAGATAGAACAAAAATATAGAACTGTCATACTTAGTTTATTTTTGTCAAGAAGAATAGAAATCCACTTAAATTATTTTAATAAATGATAAATGCCACATATGTTGGTAAAGGAAAGAGCAATTTTGTAGGATTGCAAAATCAATTGTATGACTGCATAACTGGAGATGAAATGCAATTTAGGAACTGAGAGTGCCCAATCTTTTGGGATAATAATTGTCATATTTATCTCTTGGTGGCCTGTATTAAACATCTTTCATTCTGGCAATTCCTTTTCTCTTGTCTTTGCTTCTCCTGTACTTGTTACTACCAATGATTACTTCAGTCTTTACACAGTCCAACTTTTTTCTCTATATATTGTTTTCATAATACCTTTGTATTTACCACTTCTGCTTACTCATAACTTGACTTCTCTATGAGTCACCTTCAGCCTTTCTTATTGCTAGCAACTGAAAGAGTCTTTCTCCATATTTAGTAGTTTGGCTACCTAGTTCATCACCTCTCATCTGATACAAATTTTTATGTCAGGCAACATTATAAGACATTGAAGACAGTGGAGATTGACTGCCTTTGAGCCAGGTGTTCCAGTCATAGGTTGAGTGTGGCCAGTAAAATGGTTAACAGGTTCCAGTGTATAACAGCCAAGACTTTTCTCCTTGAAAGGAGGCTGAGTGTAGAATAAGAATTATTTCCTCAGAAGGGGGTGTGTTATGGGTAGGAACCGACTTAAGAAATATTGTTCAAAAATTAAAAACAAAAATTATACGATCATCTCAGTAGATGCAGAAAAAGCATTTACAAATCCAGCATCCATTTATGATTAAAACCCTCAGCAAAATCTGAAGGGACATATCTTCAGGTAAAAGAAAAAAAAAAAGCCATCTGTGACAAACCCACAGTCAACATTATAATGCAAGGGGAAAAGTTGAACGCATTCCCCATGGAACTGGAACAAGACAAGGATGCCCACTTTTACCACTTCTATTTGACATATTACTGGAAGTCCCAGCTAGAGCAATCAGACAAGAAAAAGAAATAAAGGGCCTTCAAATCGGTGAAGAGGAAGTCAAACCATCATTGTTAGTTGATGATATAATCCTATCCGCAGAAAACCCTAAGGACTCATTAAAAAAGCTCCTAGGTCTGATTAATGAATTCAGTAATTTCAGGATACAAAATCTGTATACACAAATCAGTAGCTCTGCTATACACCAACAGCGACCAAACTGAGAATCAAACCAAGAACTCATTCCCTTTTACAATAGCTGAAAAAAAAAAAATTAAAATACTTAGGAATATACCTAACCAAGGAAGTAAAAGACCTCTACAAAGAAAACTACAAAAACGCTACTGAAAGAAATCATAGATGATGCAAACAACTGGAAACACATCCCATGTCCATGAACTGGTAGAATCAATATTGTGAAAATTACCATACTGCCAAAAGCAATATACAAATTCAATGCAATTCCCATCAAAATGCCATCATCATTCTTTACAGAACTAGAAAAAACAATCTTAAAATTCATATGGAACCAAAATGTGCCCACTTAGCCAAAGCAAGACTAGGCAAAAAGGACAAATCTGGAGGCATCACATTCCAGATGTCAAATTATACTACAAAGCTGTAGTTATCAAAACAGCATGGTACTGGTATAAAAATAAGCACTTAGACAAAGGAAACAGAATAGAGAACCCAGAAATAAAGCCCAATATTTACAGCCAACTGATCTTCAACAAAGCAAACAAAAACATAAAGTGGGAGAAGTACACCCTATTAAACAAATGGTGCTGAGATAATACACAAGTCACATTTAGAAGAATGAAATTGGATCCTCATCCCTCACATTATACAAAAATCAACTCATGATGGATCAAAGACTTAAATCTAAGACCTGAAACCACAAAAATTCTAGAAGATAACATCAGAAAAGCGCTTCTAGACATGGACTTAGGCAAAGAGTTCATTACCAAGAACCAAAAAGAAATGCAATAGAAACAAAGATAAATAGATGAGACTTAATTAAAAGCTTCTTCACAGCAAAAAAAATAATAATAATAATAATCAGCAGGATTAACAGACAACCCAAAGAGTGGGAGAAAATGTATTCAAACTCTGTATGCAACAAAGAACTAGTATCCAGAATCTACAAGGAACTCAAACAAATCAACAAGACAAAAACCAAATAATCCCGTCAAAAGTGGGCATGAATAGACAGTTCTCAAAATGTAATGAAGACATGGAATCAACCTAAATGCTCATCAATGATAGAATGGATCAAGAGCATGGGGGTACATATACACCATGAAATATTATGCAGCCATGAAAAGGGATGAGATCATGTCCTTCACAGGAACATGGATGGAATGGCCAAGAAACATCAAAAAAATGCTTAGCATCACTAATGATCAGGGAAATGTAAATCAAAACTGCAATGAAATCCCACCTTACTCTTGCAGGAATAGCCATAATTAAAATGAAAAAAAATTGTAGATGTTGGTGTTGTTTTGGTGAAAAGAGAATACTTTTTTCACTGCTGGTGGGCATGTAAACTAGTACAACCACTATGGAAAACAGTATGGAAATGCCTTAAAGAACTAAAAGTAGATCTACCATTTGATCCAGCAATCCCAGAGAAAAAGAAGTCATTCCATGAAAAAGACACTTGCACCCGCATGTTTATAGCAGCACAATTTGCAATTGCAAAAATATGGAACCAGCCAAAATGTCCATCAATCAACAAGCAGATAAAGAAAATGTAGAATATATATACCATGGAATACTACTCAGCCATAAAAAGGAAAGAAAGAATGCCATTCACCAAAACTTGGATGGAGTTGGAGACCATTATTCTAAGTGAAGTAACTCAGGACTGGAAAACCAAACATTGCATGTTCTGACTTGTAAGTGGGAGCTCAAGCTATGAGGATGCAAAGGCATAAGAATGATACAATGGACTTTGGGGACTCAGGGGGAAGGGTTGGAAAGAGGTGAGGGACAAAAGACTACACATTGGGTACAGTGTATACTTCCTGGGTGCTGGATGCACCAAAATCTCTGAAATCACCACAGAAGAACTTATCCATGTAACCAAACACCACCTGTTCCCCAAAAATTATTAAAATATATATATTTCAGAGGTGTCTTCAGCCTTTACATTTTCTCTTCAGTGTGTTTTATTCTGTAAGACTGGCTTTCTCTATAAATTGAAGAAAATATCCACCAATAGCTCTTATATTCTTATGTCTTTCTGACTAGAAAGAAAAAGACTCTTTACTGATACCTCCAGTTAGAAAAATCTCAAAAAAGGCTAGTTGTCTCAGTTCCATTTATGTGCCCATTCCTTGACTATGAATGATGCCTGTGGTAGTAGTAGTAGGGTCACATAAAACAAAGGCAATTTCTATTCTGTCTATATAGCTAAAGTGGAGGGATGAGAAACAGTTCCTCAAAAGAAATGTGGAAAAACAAGGTAAACCATCAATATAATCTAAGAGTACTGTAATAACTGAAGTTATGTATTAACATTTGTTCTTCTTATCCTGATCATTTGCACATTCATAACATGTTTATACACTAGTATGGATAGAAAATTTAACTTTTCTACCATAAAGACACATGAATGTGTATGTTCATTGCAGAACTATTCACAATAATGAAGACATGGAATCAACCTAAATGCTCATCAATGATAGAATGGATCAAGAGCATGGGGGTACATATATACCATGAAATATTATGCAGTCATGAAAAGGGATGAGATCATGTCCTTCACGGGAACATGGATGGAATGGTCATTATCCTTACCAAACTAATGTAGGAATGGAAAACCAAATACTACATGTTCTCACATACAAGTGGGAGCTAAAAGATGAGAACACATGGACTCATAGAGGGGAACAACAGACACTGGGTCCTACAAGAGGATGAAGGGTGGAAGAAAGTGAAGAATTAGAAAAAATAATTAATGGGTACTATGCTTAATACCTGTGTGATGAAATGAATGATTTGTAGAACACACTTTCATGACATGAATTTACCTATATAATAAACCTGCACATGTACCCCTGAATGCAAAATGAAAGTTAAAAAAGAAAATAATTTATATCTTTACAAAATTGAGTCTTAGTATGCATGAGCATGAAGTATGCCTTCATTCATTTAGACCTTTGGGTTTTTTTCACACATACACTCAGTTTTTAACTAGATGTGTATACATGTTTTGTGTATCCATTTAATCACTGATGGACACGTGAGTTGTTTCCACATTTTGGCCACTGTGAATAATACTTTTAACGACAAGGGTACACAAACATCTCTTCAAGTCATTGTTTTCAATTATTTGGGTATATACCCAAAATAAGGATTTGCTGTATTTTATGGCAATTTTATGTTGGATTTTTTAGGGGCCACCATATTATTTTACTTACCTGTTACACTATTTTCCATTTCCACCAACTATGTGGAAGAATTCCAATTTCTCTACATCCTTCCAAACTCTTGTTATTTTATGTTTTTGATGGTAGCTATGCTAATAGGTATGAAGTCGTATCTCATTGTGGTTTTGAATTGCATTTATCCAACAATTACTGACATCAGGCACTTTTTATGATTATTGACAATTTCTATATTTTCAAGTGTTTTGCATATATCTTTTTTTTTTTTTTTTTGAGATGGAATCTCGCTCTGTCACCCAGGCCAGAGTGCAGTGGCACAATCTTGGCTCACTGCAACCTACACCTCCCAGATTCAAGCAATTTTCCTGCCTCAGCCTCCCGAGTAGCTGGGACTACAGGTGCACACCACCATGCCCAGCTAATTTTTTGTATTTTGGCAGAGATGAAGTTTCACCGTGTTGCCCAGGCTGGTCTCGAACTCCTGAGCTCAGGCAATCTGCCCGCTTTGGCCTCCCAAACTGCTGGGATTACAGGCATGAGCCACTGCACCTGGCCTGCATATATCTTAATTAGGCTGTTTTCAGGATTTCCTTGTTGTTGTTGGGTTGTAGGTGTTCTCCATATATTCTGTATATTAACATATCTTACCAGATATATAACTTGTAGATGTTATGTCTTATTAGGTGTGTTGTCTTTTCCTACTGTTGATTGTGTTCTGCCTTAGTGGCACCACCCTAGTAGATTATCTCTGTGAGGACTGCACCCCTGCAGCAGGCTTCTGCCTACCAGGCTTTTCCATACATCTTTTGAAATCTAAGCAAAGGTTGCCAAGCCTCCTTCATTCTTTGCACTCTGCATACCTGAAGGCTTAACACGATGTGGAAGCCACTAAAGCTTACAGCTTGCGTGCTCCAGAGTTGTGGCATGAAATGTACCTGGAGCCCTTTGAGCCGAGGCTACAGCCAGAGCATCCATGATGTAAGGAGCAGACTCCTGGCATGGGACAAGGCAGTGGCACCCCAGGCCTGCCCCCCAAGACATTCAATCCTTCTGGGCCTCTGGGCCTATAATGGGAGGGGCTACCTGGAAGATCTCTGAAATGCCTTGGAGGCCCTTTTTTTTCACTGTCTTGGCTACCAGCACCGGCCTGTTTTTTCAGTCATGCAAATCTTTCTAACAAATGATTGCTCCACAGTGTGTTTGGATTCTTCCCCTGTAAAAGGTTTTTCTTTGCCACATGGCTAGGCGGCAAATTTTACAAACTTTAATGCTCTGCTTCCCATTTAAATATAAGTTCCAATTGTAGGTCATTTCTTTGCATTCATATCTGATCATAGGCTGTTAGAAGAAGCCAGGCTAATTCTTAAAATGCTGTGCAGCTTAGATATTTCTTCCGACAGATACTCTAAATTATCAGTCTTTTTTTTTTTTTTTTTTTTTTTTTGAGGCAGAGTCTTGCTCTGTCACCCAGGCTGGAGTGCAGTGGCATGATCTCAGCTCATTGCAACCTCTGCCTCCCACATTCAAGTGATTCTCCTGCCTCAGCCTCCTGAGTAGCTGGGATTACAGGCATGCACCACCAAGCCCAGCTAATTTTTGTATTTTTTTCCGTAGAGACAGGGTTTCTCCACATTGTCTAGGCTGGTCTCGAACTCCTGACCTCAGGTGATCCATCTGCCTTGGCCTCCCAAAGTGCTGGGATTACAGGCCTGAGCCACCATACTCGATCTAAATTATCACTCTTTTTTTTCTTTTCCTTCGAGACAGAGTCTCACTCTGTCGCCCAGGCTGGAGTGCAGTGGCGTGATCTCTGCTCTCTGCAACCTCCGCCTCCCAGGTTCAAATGATTTTCCTGCCTCAGCCTCCTGAGTAGCTGGGATTACAGGCGTGTGCCACCATGCCTGGCTAAATTTGTATTTTTGGTACTAAATTTGTATTTCTAGTAGAGACGGGGTTTCACCATGTTGGTCAGGATGGTCTCAAACTCCTGACCTCATGATCTGCCCTCCTTGGCCTCCCAAAGTGCAGGGATTACAGGTGTGAGCCACTGCACCCAGTTATCACTCTTAAGTACAAACCTCTGAAAATTACTAGGACATAAACACAATGCAGCCAAGTTCTTTGCTAAGGCATAACACTAGCGAACTTTGTTCCAATTCCCAAAAAGTTTCTCATTTTCATTGGAGACCTCATCAGTCTGGATTTCACTGTCCATATCACTGTTATTGAAAAGAAGGTCTTGATCCAGACCCCAAGAGAAGATGCTTGGATCTCATGCCAGAATAAATTCAAGGTGAGTCTCAAAGTATAGTGAAAAGAGATGGTTTACTAAAAGCTACTCCGTTACAGAGTAGGCCATCCTTAGAAAGTAAGTGGAGAAATGCAACCTCTCTCTATATATATGGGTATTGCTTATGAAAAAGCTAATCAAAGGTATGCCTATGTGCAGGTGGGGTGACAGCATGACAAAATTTATTATTGTATTGATTTAAGGAAAACTACCCTCGACAATTTAGCATGCAAGTAAAACAAAGCATACCTATAGTTACCTTGAAAACATATATTATTATGAGTATTGGGACCTCTGGACTTTCTTCTGTTGTAGGAGTGTGTCCTTGTAGGTATCTTTAGGCTGTATCCTCAACCATAAATATTCTAAGACCATGGGTCATGACTGAAAAGAAATGTGCCTTGCTAGTTTTAAGATGAAGTTGATTTTAAAATGGTGTCACTCTGGTTCTCCTAGGCTCCTGCTTCCCTCACATCACTATCAGGGTTTTGCTCACAACAATTTAACCAGTCTCTAAGAACTTTCTAATTTTTTTTCATCTTTCCATCCTCTTCTGAGCCCTCCAAACTCTTCCAACCTCTGCCCACTACCCAGTTCCAAAGTTACATCCATACTTTCAGATATTTTTATAGCAATACCCCACTCCTTGGTATCTATTTTCTGTGTTAGACCATTCTTGCTTGCTACAAAGAACTATCTGAGACTGGGTAATTTATAAAGATAAAAGGTTTAATTGGCTCATGGCTCTGCAGACTATACAGGAAGCATAGCACTGGGGATGAGCTCAGCTTCTAGTGAGGCCTCAGGAAGCTTATGATCATGGCAGAAGGCAAAGGGGGACCCAGCATATTACATGCAAGAGTAGAAGCAAGAGAGAGAGGCAGGTGGTACCACACACTTTTAAACAAACAGAGATCGTGAGAACTCACTGACTATTGTCAGGACAGCACCAAGCCATGAGAGATCCACCCCCATGACCGAAACACCTCCCACCAGGCCCCACTCTCAACATTGGAGATTACACTTCGACATGAGATTTGGGTGGGGAAAAACATCTAAACTATATCAGCTGGTTTCTGGCATTCTTAAAAAACTATTTTGGCCTACATATTGTTCTCGTGATGCTTCCATGGGAAAGTTAAGTCCTGGAGCTTCCTAGCCCAACATCTTGCTGAAGTCATGCTCCAAAGAGATCATCTTTTGTCTATGGTTCCATAGTAATACATTTGTCATAGATTTAAATATCCATAATATGTGGAGTTGTTGCTGGACTCGACAATTTACTATTGGTCTATTTGTCTGTCCTTGTTACAATGCTATATGCTTCAGTTTTACAACTACTCTTTTTTTTTTCCTCCCCCGAGACGGAGTTTTGCTCTTTCACCCAGGCTGGAGTGCAGCGGAGCAATCTTGGCTCACTGCAACCTCCACCTTCCGATTTCAAGTGATTCTCCTGCCTTTGCCTCCTGAGTAGCTGGGATTACAGGTGCCTGCCACCATGCCCAGCTAATTTTTGTATTTTTAGTAGAGATGGGGTTTCACCATGTTGGCCATGGGCTCAAATTCCTGACCTCATGATCCGCCAACCTTGGCCTCTCAAAGTGCTGGGATTACAGGCATGAGCCACCGTGCCTGGCCATAACTAGTCTTAATATGTCATAGCATAGATTTGCCAACTTTTTATTTTTTATTTTTATTTTTTTGTGTGTGGTCGTCCCCTTCCTTCTTTCCTTCTGTCTCTAGAATTACTTAGCTGTTTCTGGTGCTTTGAATTTCAATATTAGGTTAAGAATCCATTTTTCAATTTGCACCAAAAAGCGTTAGAATTTTGATTGGTATCCTATTGAATCTATTTGTTAATTTGAGAAAGATACTGAATTTTCCATTCCTTGAACACAGTATATTTCCTCATTTATGTATGACTTTTAAATTTCTCTCTGCATGGTGTTTAAAATGTTAGTGTAGCTGTCTTGTACATCTTTTTCTTATATGTCATCCTTGGAATTTTATGTTTTTTGGTCACATTGAAAATTGTACATTTTGAAGATTTGTTGCTTATTAAAAATCATTTTTGATCAGTTAATCTGCATCCACTGACCTTAATAAATTCACATTCACTCAATAATTTATTTGATTATTTTTATTTTGAACATACACAGAAATGTGTTTGTGACTAATGAGAGTTTTATTTCAATTCTTTATTTTTTTTTTGTTATTGTTGTTTTTTTTTCTTGTCCTGATTTCATAGTCTGTTAGGGCTGGTATATTTTTGGTTTGTCCTCATTTCTGAAGTATAGGCTCTTAAAACTTTCAAACTGGTTATCTGGTATGTTGATCAAGTTGAGTTACCAGATAAAATGCAGGAGAGCCAATTAAATATGGAAGTCAGATAAACATTAAATAATTTCAAGTTAAAGTATGTCCTAAGTATTGCATGGTACATGCTTACACTAAAAAATAATTGCTATTTAGCTGAAGTTCAAATTTATCGAGGCATGCTGGACTTTTATTTGCTGATTGCAGCAATCTTATTACCAAGATTCATCCTATTTTCTCAGCCTTAACTGCAGTATTTTTTTCTCTCCAACTCTGTGAGATTGCTAAGAGCTATGCTTGGCTTCCCAACCCTTTGCTTGTAGCTTTCTCTTGTTTTCCTCTCAACTTGTTCTTAGCCTCTTAGCCTCCTGTCAATTATGGAATGGAAAATGTACTGGGGACAAATTGCTACAGAATATTGGGCTGACTTCAATGTGCTTCCCTTTCCTGTGAGATCTTGGTCTTGAAATCCTTGGAAAACTTGGTAACTCTGTGACACTATTAAGTATATGTCGTCTACATTGGGTAATGCTTCTCTAGTTATTAATACTGGCAGAATCAGTCTAAAACAGTCTACATTAATATTACTGAATAAAGTAACCTTTTTCTTAAAACATTATTTGAATACTCAAGTAAAACCATTTGAGGTAGAATTTCATTTTTGCTCAGTTTCTCTAGTAGGTGCACGATAATTCAAACTATCTATGTTTTATTTTCAGTCAGTTTTATATATGACATTTTAAGAGAAGTATATCTCAGTTGACTGAATTTTCATTTTATTGCTGAAAATATATCACAATTTCTTACTGTCTTTAAATATCTGCTCTATTTGTACTTATGTGCCTTTTTATGTTCCTAACATTTTTTGATATGCCCTTTCTCTTATTTTTCTTTATCAGTTTGACCAGTGTTTTCCATATTATTAAACTTTTAAAAGTACTAACTCTTGGCTTTGTGGATTCTTATTCTATGAAGCATTTATTTTCTGTGTGATAGATTCTTGATATTCTCATTATTTTCTCTTTTATTCTACTTTCTTTACATTGATTTTTTTATTACTTTCAAACTTCTGAAGTTAGGTATATATTTTAGTGTTTGTTATTTTTTAATACTTATCATTAAGATTATAAATGTTGCTAAAAGTAACATTTTGCTGCTGCGTCTTGAAAAGTTTTATAAGTAATATTTTTATTATCTTTCTTTTCTCCATAGTTTTAAAATTTCATTACAACTAATTTTTTGACCAAGAAATTATTGTGTGTTTTAAAATTTCTATAAATATGACTTTTTAGGGAATGTGCTTAATTGATTATATCTTAATTGTAGTGTGGTAGCAAATATGTTACTTATGATTTTTTGGTTGAAATTTGTTTACATCATAATCTAAAATGTGAATTTTTTAAATTGTCTTCCTTGTATGTTTGAGGATAATGTATCTTCTCTAATATTTTGGTACAGAATGCTACATATGTTAATTATATTATAATTGTTAAATATATTTATACAATTTTCCCTACATACACAGCCTTTTAGATAACTTGATCTATCAATAATGTAGAATTAGTCTCCAACTATTGTGGCATGTTATTTCAACTTTTTCCTATCAACATATCAATTATGGCTTGATATATTTTGAGAACTTATTAGGTGAATAAGTATATCAAATTATCTAGAGAAACAGAGCTAATAGAATGTATTTCTGTGTGTATGTGTGTGTCTACATGCACATGTATAAATGAAGAGAGAGACAGAGAGAAAGAGAGACAGATTTATTTTAAGAAATTGGCTCATGTGATTATAGTGGTTGGCAAAACCAAAATCTGCATGAGGGGCTGCTGGCTGGAGATC
Organism: Homo sapiens; assembly: GCF_000001405.40. NCBI lineage: Eukaryota > Metazoa > Chordata > Mammalia > Primates > Hominidae > Homo > Homo sapiens. The sequence goes on from NC_000024.10 coordinate 5,907,333, forward strand.
CGGGGAGAAGCCAGTGTTGCAGCTCCAGTCTGAAAGCCATCAGGCTGGAGAGCCAGGGAAAATCTTATATTGGTGTTCAAGTCCAAAGTTCGTGTCTTGGAAGAATCTTCTCTTGCTCAGGGGAGGTTAGTCTTTTGTTCTATCCAGTTTAAGTGATTGGATTAGGTCCACCCATATTAGGGAGAACAATTTTGTTTACTAAAAGTCCACCAATTTAAATGTTAATCTCGTCCAAAGTTATCTTCCTGGAGACATGCAGAGATATATTTGACCAAATAACTGGGCACATTGGTTCAAACAAGTTGATACATAAAATTAACCATTATAAGAAGCTTAGACTTGTTATATTTTGGTAATTAAAATTTTATCATTATTTGCAACTCTCTTTGTTCTTAATAATGATTTTGTCTGATATTAGCTTTCTTTTAATTAGTATTTTCTTAGTATACCTATTTCATGCTTTAACTTGTAACCCATCTGCATCTTTATACTTAAGAACTGTCTCTTGTAAAGACCTTTATAGCTATAGCCTTTACAATGCTGTCTGATTATCTCTTACTTACTTGGTGAATGTAATCTACGTATATTTTATTGCAATGGTCATTATTATTATGAGGCTTATTTCTGCCATTCTAATTTTATTTGTATTTCTTCTGCATTTTCTATATGCTTGGCTTTTTATCTATTTAGTTTTTGTCTACTTTTGTTCTTTTCCCATATTTTCCACTTACTTGGAATTTATCTTCTTCATTATTTAAGTAATTTTCATTGAATTTTTACCAAAATAAATGTATCAGTAATTACATAATTGCACAATCACAAATCTCAATCAACCTAAAAAATGCAGAAAACATGAAAACAAGCAAAACAACACAGATATAAAAAAGTAAATTTATCTTGCCTCACCTTTAGAATAGTATAAAGAACTCAGAACCCTTTAATCCAAAACATTTGCATCCTGATTCATGTACTACTTTTGTCTCCTATTTTATTTTTGTTTTTCTCTAACATCATGCATTACAAATTATTTTTATTAATTAAAAAATTAGTTTGAGACTAGGCACGGTGGCTCATGCCTGTAATCCCAGTACTTTGGGAGGCCGATGTGGGTGGATCACTTGAGGTCAGGTGTTTGAGACCAACCTGGCCAACATGGTGAAACCCCGTCTCTACTAAAAATACAAAAAAAAGAAAAAAAAAAAGAAAAAAAAAAAAAGCTGGGTGTGGCGGTGCACAACCTGTGCAACAGAGTGAGATGCTGTCTCAAAAAAAAATCGTTTGAATTTACACACCTGTTTATCATTGTATTTCATCACTAGTCTGCATCTCAAACTATTCGTCTAACATCAGCTGTTAATCCTTAGAAAGATGATTTAGTACACTATCTTTCCTTTTTTCTTTGCCTGAAAATATCCTTATTCCACCATTATTTTAAATGTATTGATTTTCTGGGTATATGTATCAGTTGTCTGCTTTTATATCACAAAACAGCACCATATATTTTATCAGATGATCATAATATGAATCATCAACTTGAGTTATGTTTAGTGGGATGGTTCTTTTGCTGATCTCATCTGAGGTTAATCATGTGGCTGTGCTCAGCTTGTGGATTAGCTTGGGAATGTTAGCCTAGGATAAGAATTGGAAATCTCAGAACTTTTGACATTTTGAGTTGTATAATTTTATATTTCGTGGGACTTTCCTATGCATTGTAAAATGTTTATGATATTCACAGCCTCTCTCTATTACATGCCATGTAACTCCCAAAATTGTGACAACCAGAAATGTCTTCAAATATTGACTAGTGTCTTCTGACATTTCTGGCTGAGAGACATTTAGGATTTTAATTCTTACTGCTGCTGTAACAAATTAGCAAACAGTGATTTAAAATCAAAGAAAGAGGCGGAGCAAGATGACAGAATAGAAGGCTCCACTGATCACCTCCACCACAATGACTAATTTAACAACTATCTCCACAGAAAAAAACACCTTCATAAAAACCCCAAATCAGGTGACTTCTCACAGTACCTGGTTTTATTTTCATATCACTGAAAGAGGCACTGAAGAGGTAGAAAAAAAAGTTCTGCATCCCGATGCCACCCCTTCACCACCGCCAACAGCAGCAGTGTGGTGGTAAGAAGAGCATCTCTGGGCACTAGGGAAGGAAGGGCATGGCAATTGCAAGGCATTGAAATCAGTGCCGTCCTGTTACAGCACAAAGGAAAGTCGGATCAAACTCAGCTGATGCCTGTCCATGAAGGGAGCATTTAAAGCAGCCCCAGCCAGAAGGGAATCTCTAATACCAGCAGTTGGAAGGTGAGTTCCTTCAAACCTCGCCACCAAGGGCTAAACTACTCTGGGTCTGTAAGAAAACTTGAAAGGCAATCTAGGCCATAAGGACTGCCACTCTTAGGTGATTCCTAGTGCTGAACTGGGCCGAGAGACAGTGGACTAGGAGAGCAGGTGACTTACTGAGACTTCAGCCCAGCTGGGCCAGCTAAGGGAGTGATGGCATCACCCCTCTCCTAACCCCAGGTTGCATAGCTCATGGGTCCAAAAGAGGCCTCTTCCTTTTGCTTCAGGTGAGGAGAAGGAAGAGTGGGGAGGACTTTGTCTTGTATCTTGGATACTGGCTCAGCCCCAGCAGGATAGGGCACCAGCAAGGGTTTGGAGGACCCCATTCCAGGCACTAGCTCCTGGATGACTTTTCTAGACACACTGTGAAATAAAAGAAAATGTGTTGACTTTAAGTGAAAGACTCAGTCCTGGCAGCATTCATCAACTGGTAAATAAAAAGCCCTTGGGCCTTGAATAACCAGCAGGGATACTCAAGTACTACCTTGATTACTTTGAGTGAGCTCTAAAACTTGCTGGCTTAAGGCGAGACTCAGCACATTACCAGCTGTGGTGGCTACAAGGCAAAACTCCTTCTGCTCAAGCAAAGGGAAAAGAAAGGAGACTTTTCTTGCACCTTAGGCACCAGCATGGCCACAGGAGGGTAGAGCACCAAATGAGCACTTGAGGCCCTGATTCCAGGATTTGATACTTGAGCAGCATATCTGCACCTGCCCTGGGCCACAGGGGAGCCCACTGTCCCAAAAGAGTAAGTTCTATGCCAGGCAGCATTTACCACAAGATGACTTAATAACGCTTGGGATTTAAGGTTGCATCAGTGGTAGTCTGACAGTATTCCCCATGGCCTGTGGTGGGGGTGGCTAGGCATTTTGTGGCTTGAGTGTCACCTCAGCTGCAGTACAATAGAACACCGGTGGATTTCTAAAGCTTTTGACTCTAGTAGTTTCTGACTCCCAGCTGCCACCTGGACCCACTCAGGGCCTGGGATAACTTGTTGCCCTAAAGGAAAAAAGACAGGCCTGGCTTCCTTTTCCATCTGCTCATTGTAGGTGCCCAGGTCCTTGAACAAATATATGCAGTAGTCAGGGAGGAGTTACAACAGGCCTTGAGTGAGACTCAGTATTGTGCTGGCTTCAGGTCTGAGGCAGTGTAGTCATAGTGGTGTTGACCACAGGTGTGCCAGATGTCACTCCATCGCCAGCTTTATGTCACTTAGAACAGAGAGAGAGAGCGAGACTTTGTTTGGTGGACAACAAGTGAAGAGAGCAACAACCTTTGCCTGGTAATCCAGAGAACCTGTCCAGATCTAGTCTAAGAACAACAAGGTGGTATCTCCAAGAGTCTGCGAGAACCACAGAGTTCCTGAGCTTGGGTTTCCCTCTAAAGCAGGTAAAGCTTAGATCACATCACCCAAGTTCTTTCAAATATCTGGAAAGCCTTTCCAAAAGGGACAGGTACAAACAAGCCCAGACAGTGAAGACTAAAATAAGTATGTAACTCTGCAGCACCCAGACACCAAAGAGCATCTGCTTACATCAACACTATCCAGGAAAATATGACCTCACCAAATGAAATAAATAGAGACCAATCTTGAAGAAGGAGGTATGTGACATTTCAAACAGTTAATTCAAAATAACTGTGTTGAGAAAACTGAAAGAGACTCAACATAACACAGAGAAAGAATTTAGAATTCTATGAGGTAAACTTAACAAAAACTTTGGGATAATTAAAAAGAATCAACCAGAAATTCTGGAGCTGAAAAATTCAATTGTCATACTGGAGAACACATCAGAACCTTTTAATAGTGGACTCGATCAAGCAGAAGAAAGAATTAGTGAGTTTTAAGAGCTATTTGAAAACGCAGTCAGAGGAGACAAAAGAAAAAAGAATAAAATACAATGAAGCATTCCTATGTGATCTAGAAAATACCCTCAAAAGGGCAAATCTAAGAGTTATTTAGCCATTAAGTGAAGGTAGAGAAAGAGATAGAATTAGAAAGTTTACTTTAAAAGATGATAACAGAGAAATTCCCAAACCTAGAGAAAAATATCAACATCCAAATACAAGAAGGTTATAAAACACCAGACAGGTTTAACCCATGAAGACTATCCCCAGGCATTTAATAATCAAATTCTCCAATATCAAGAATTTTTTTTTAAAAAAGGATCCTAGAAACAGCAAGAGAAAAGAAACAAATTACATACAGTGGAGCTCCAATATGACGGACAGCAGACTTTTTAGTAGAAACCTTAGGGTCCAGAAGAGAGTAAGTAGCATGCCATCTTTAAAGCGCTGAAGTAAAAAACAAAAACAAAAACGAAAACCTTTTACCCTAGAATAGTATACGTGGCAAAAATATCCTTCAAACATAAACGAAAAACAAAGACTTTCCTAGACAAACAAAAGCTAAGGGATTTAATCAATACCAAACCTGTCCTACAAGAAATGCTAAAGGGAGTACCTCAATCAGAAAGAAAAGGATGTTAATGAGCAAAAAATAATCACCTGAAGGTACAAAACTCACTGGTAATAGTTAAGTACACACACAAAAAAACACATAATATTATAACACTGTAACTCTGGTGAGTAAACTCTCTTGTCCTAAGCACAAAGACTAAATAATAAACCAATCAAAAATAATAACTTTTCAAGACACAGACAGTACAAGAAGATATAAATCAAAACAACAAAACATAAAAGAGGAGGAACAAAGTTAAGACGTAGAATTTTTATCGGCTTTCTTTTGGCTTGTTTCTTTATGTTATAGTGTTAAGTTGTTATCAGCTTAAAATAATAGGTTATAATATAATATTTGCAAGCCTCATGGTAACTTCAAACTAAAAAACACACAATGGATGCACAAAAAAATTAAAAGCAAGAAACTAAAACATATTACAAGAGAAAACCACCTTCACTAATGGAAAATATGGAAGAAAGAAAGAAAGAGAGAGAGGGAGGGAAGGAGGGAGAGGGCGAGGGAGGGGGAAAGGGAGGGGGAAGGGGGAGGGGAGAGGGGAGGGGGAGGGGGAAGAAGGTGGGAGGGGGAAGGGGAGGAGAGGAGAGGAGAAGAGAGGAGAGGAGGAGAAAGACCGCAAAGCAACCTTAAAGCAAACAAACAACAACAAAAAGTGGCAGGAGTACGTCCTTACTTATCAATAGTAACATTGAATATTAACGTACTAAACTCGGCCCGGCGCGGTGGCTCACACCTGTAATCCCAGCACTTTGGGAGGCCAAGGCGGGTGGATCATGAGGTCAAGAGATCAAGACCATCCTGGCTAACACAGTGAAACCCCGTCTCTACTAAAAATACAAAAAATTAGCTGGGCATGGTGGCGGGCACCTGTAGTCCCAGCTACTAGGGAGGCTGAGGCAGGATAATGGCATGAACCCAGGAGGCAGAGCTTGCAGTGAGCAGAGATCGCACCACTGCACTCCGGCCTGAGCAACAGAGCGAGACTCCCTCTCAAAATAAGTAAGTAAATAAATAAATAAATAAATAAATAATAAAATAGATAAAAATAAAAATGTACTAAACTCACCAATCAAAAGGCATAGACTGCCTGAATGAATGAAAAAAAAAAAAATGACCCATTGAGCTGCTGCCTATAAGAAACACACTTCACCTATAAAGACATATATATCCTGAAAACGTAGGGATGGAAAAATATTTCATGCCAATGGCAACCAAAATATAGCAGGAGTCGCTATACTTATATCAGACAAAATAAATTTTCAGACAAAAACTATAAGAAGAGACAAATAAAGTCACTATATAATGATAAAGGGGTCAATTCAGCAAGAGGATATAACAAATTTAAATAAATATGGTCCCAACACTGAAGCAACCAGATAGAATTAAAAAATATCATCAGAGCTTAAAGAGAGACAAAAGTTTGAATACCACAATAGCTGGAGACTTCAACATCACACTTTTCAGCATTGAACAAATCTTCCAGACAAAAAAGAAGCATCAGACGTAATCTGCACTATAGAACAAATGGATATAATATGTATTTACAGAACATTTCATCCAATGGCTGCAGAATACACATTCTTTTCCTCAGCACATGGATCTATGTTAGGTATAGTATAGACCACATGTTAGGTCACAAAACAAGTCTTAAAACACTCAAAAAAAATTCAAATTGCATCAGCCATCTTCTCTTGCCACAATAAAATAAAACTAGAAATTAAAAACGAGGAATTTTTGAAACTATACAAATACATGCTTGTGAATGACAAGTGGGTCAATAAAATATTAAGAAAAAATTGAAAAAATTGAAACAAATGATAATGGAAAAAAGCATACAAAAACCTATGGTATATGGCAAATGCAATAAAAGGGCATTGAATAGCTACAAGTGCCTACATCAAGAAAAAGGAAAAACTTCAAATAAACAATCTACTGATGCATCTTAAAGAACTGGAAAAGCAACAGCAAACCAAACCCAAAATTAGCTGAAGAAAAGAAAAAATAAAAATCAAAACAGAAATAAAGGAAATTGACATAAAGAAAACAATACAATAGATAATGAAACGTGAAACATAAAAATGGTTTATTGTAAAACAAAATTGACAAATTTTAACCAGAGTAAGAATAAAAGAGAGATGATCCAAATAAACTCAGACATATAAAAGTAGATGTTACCACTGATATTACAGTAATTAAAAGAAGCGTTAGTGTCTCCTATGAGCAACTATGTAACTATGGATTGGAAAATCTTGAAATGGATAAACTCCTAGACACATACCACAATCAAAATAAGAAGAAATCCAAAACCTGAACAGACTAACAAGAAGCAACAAGATCAAAGCCATAATAAAAAGTCTTCCAGTAAAGAAAAGCCCGGGACCCTATGGCTTCACTGCTGTATTCTACCAAACATTTAAATAAGAACTAATACCAATCCCATTCAAACTATTCCGGAATATAGAGGTGGAGGAAATACTTCTCAACTCATTATAGGAGGTCAGTATTGCCCAAAACCAGAGAAAGACACATTCAAAAAAGAAAACTACGGGCCAATAACTCTCATGAATACTGATGCAAAAATCCTCAAAAAAATACTCGCAAACCAAATTCGACAATACTTCAGAAAGATCACTCATCATGACCAAGTGGGATTTATCCCTGGGATGCAAGAATGACTCAACATATGCAAGTCAATCAATGTGATACATCATGTCAACATAATGAAGGATAAAACAATATGTTCCTTTCAATATATGCTGAAAAAGCATTTAATAAAATTCAACATCCCTTTATGATGAAAAAAAAACCTTCAAAAACTGGTTATTAAAGGAACACACCTCAACATAATATAAGCCATATATGACAGACCCATAGCTAGTGTCATAATGAATGAGGAAAAACTGAGTCTTTATGAGATTGGAAGATGATAAGGACGCCCACTTTTGCCAGTGTCATTCAACATAGTATGGAAGCCCTAGCTAGAGTATTCAGACAAGGGAAAAAAATAAAAAGCATCTAATCTGGAAAGGAAGAAGTCAAATGTATCTTGTTTGCAGATGATATGATCTTATACTTGGAAAATCCTAAAGACCACAGAAGAAAATGATTAGAACTGATATGTTCAGTAAATTTGTAAGATACAAAATCAATGTACAAAAATCAGTAGCATTTCTATATGCCAACACTGAACAATCTAAAAAGAAAAAGTAATCTCATTTACAATAGCCACACATAAATTCAAATACCTAGAAATTAACCAAAGAAGTGTAAGATAGATATAATGAAAGCTATAAAACATTGATAAAAGAAATTGAAAAAAATATTCTATGTTCCTGAATTAAAAGAATTAATACTGTTAAAATGTCCATACTATCCAAAAGTAATCTACAGATTCAAGGCAATCCCTGTTGAAATCCCAATGACCTTTTTCACAAAAATATTTTTAAAAAATTCTAACATTTATATAGAGCCACAAAAGACCCAGAATAGCCAAAACAATCCTGAATAAAAGGAACAAAACTGGAGGAATCAAATTACCTATTTTTAAATTATACTACAGAGCTATAGCAACCAAAGCAGCATGGTACTTGCATAAAAACAGACACATAGGGCCAGGTGCGGTAGCTCACGCCTGTAATCCCAGCACTTTGGGAGGCCAAGGAGGGAGGATCACGAGGTCAGGAGATCGAGACCATCCTGGCTAACACGGTGAAACCCCGTCTCTACTAAAAATACAAAAAAGTAGCCGGATGCGGTGGTGGGCACCTGTAGTCCCAACTACTTGGGAGGCTGAGGCAGGAGAATGGTTTGAACCTGGGAGGCAGAGCTTGCAGTAAGCCGAGATTGTGACTCCGTCTCAAAAAAAAAAAAAAAAAAAAAGCAGACACATAGAAGAATGAAATATAATAGAGAACACAGAAACAATCCACACATCTACAGTGAACTAATTTTCAACAAAAGTGCCAAGAATATACACTGGGGAAAAGATAGTCTTTTACATCAATGGTGCTGGGAAAACTAGATGTCCACATACATAAGAATAAAACTAGAACACTGTCTCTCACCATATACAAAAATCAAATCAAAACGGATTAAAGACTTAAATCTAAGATCTCAAACTATGTAACTACTAAAAGAAAACTTTGGGAAAAATTTCCAAGACATTGATCAGGGCAAGTATTTCTTGAGCAATACTCCACATGTACAGGTAACCAAAGCAAACATGGACAAATGGCATCACATCAAGTTAAAAAGCCTCTGCACAGCAAAGGACACAGTCTTGAAAAGAAGAGACAACCCACAGAGTGTGAGAAAATATTTGCAAATTACTTATCTGACAAGGGATAAATAACCAAAATATATAAGAAGTTCAAAGAACTCTATAGGAAAAAAAAAAAAATATATATATATATATATAAAATAGTTCTACTAAAAACTGGGCAAAGGATATGAATAGATATTTCTCAAAAGAAAACATACAAATGACAAATAAACATAGGAAAGGGTGCCCAACATCAGTGATTATCAGAGAAATCCAAATCAAAACTACATTATCTCATCTCAGTTAAAATCGCTTATATAAAAAAAGCCCAAGCAGTAACAAATGCTAGTGAGGATGTGGAGAAAAGGGAACTCCTGTAAGCTGTTGTTGAGAATGTAAATTAGTACAACCACTATGAATAACAGTGTAGAGGTTCCTCAAAAAACTAAAACTAGAGCTACCATATAATCCAGTAATCCCACTGCTGGGTATATACCCAAAAGATAGGAAATCAGTATATTGAAGAGATATCTGCACTCTCATGTTTGTTGCAGCACTGTTCACAGTAGCTAAGATTTGGAAGCAACCTAAGTGTCCATCAGCAAATGAACAGGTAAAGAAAATGTGGTGCATATACACAATAAAGTACTATTCAGCCGTAAAAGATAATGAGATCCTGCCACTTACAACATGGATAGAAATGGAGATCATTATGTTGAGTCAAATAAGACAGGTACAGAAAAACAAATGTCATATGTTTTCACTTATTTGTAAGATCTAAAAGTCAAAACAATTGAACTCATGGAGAAAGAGAGTGGAAGGATGGTTACTAGAGGTGGGGAAGTGTAGTGAGGAGTTGGGGAAAGGTGGCAAAGGTTTATTGGCACAAAAAAAAATTAAAGTATAAACAAGGTCTAGTATTTTATAGCACAACAGGGTGACTACAGTTGATAATATTTTTCATCTTAAAATAACTAAAAGAAGGTGACTGGATTGTTTGTAACACAAAGGGAAAATGAATTGATTGATACATCGTTCTCCATGATGTGATTATTTAATACTGCATGCTTGCATCAAACCATCTCATGTACCTATAAATATATACACCTACTATATACCCACGAAATTAAAACAAAAGATACAAAAAATAAAACAACCCAAATTTCACCACAAAATACCACAAATTGCTAAAAAAAAAAAAAAAAAAAAAAAAGAAAGAAAAGAAAAATCCTGCACAAAAAAAAAAAAAACAATGCTGGAACAATGCTGGAGGTATTGCACTGCCTGATATCAAACTGTACTACAAAGTTGTCATACCCAAAACAGCATGTCATACAAACCGGACACAGAACAATGGAACAGAATAGATAACACATAAATAGTCCATGAACTTACAGCCAACTCATTTTCGGCATTGCACCAAGAACATACATTGGAGAAAGAATAGCCTTTTTAATAAAATGATGCTGGGAAAACTGAATATCTCTTTCAAAAGAATAAAACTAGATCCCCATCTTTTGATATGTAAAACTAGTAAACTCAAAATGGACTAAAGACTTAAATGCTAGGCATAAAAATTTGAAACTAATATTTTTAGGGTAAAATCTCAAAAGAACAGAAAACAAAAGCAAAAATAGACAATTGTAATGACCTCAAAATAAAAAGCTTCCACACAGAAAAACACACACATGTAAACACACACACACACACAACAAAAAACAAAAAACAATGAACATGGTGAAGAGATCACCTGCAAAATTGGATTACATGTTAACAAACTATATAACAAGATATTAATAACCAGAATATATAAGGCACTCAAACTCAATAGCAAAAATAATAATCCCTTTAAAAAGTAAACAAAGGCCAGGCACGGTGGCTCACGCATGTAATCCCAGCACTTTGGGAGGCCCAGGTGGGCGGATCACGAGGTCAAGAGATCAAGATCATCCTGGCCAACATGGTGAAACCCCCTCTCTACTAAAAATACAAAAATTAGCCAGGTGTGGTGGTGTGTACCTGCAGTCTCAGCTACTCAGGAGGCTGAGGGAGGAGAATCGCTTGAACCCTGAAGGAGGACACTGCAGTGAGCCGAAATTATGCCACTGCACTCCAGCCTGCTGACAGAGCGAAATTCCTTCTCAAAAAAAAAAAAAAAAAAAAGTAAACAAAATAGATTAATACATATTTCTCAAAAAAGACATGCAAATGGCTAAGCTGTATGAAAAAATACTCAAAACTAATCATCAGGAAAACGCAAATCAAAACCACAATGAAATGTCTCACCTTACCTAGAATGGAAATCATAAAAAAAAAAAAAGAAAATTACAAATGCTGGCGAAGATGTGAAGAAAACAGAATGCTCCTACACTTTTGGTGGGACTGTAAAGTAGAACAGCCATTATGGAAAACGATATTGAGGTTCCTCAAAAAACTAAAAATAGAACTACCATATGAAACTCACTGCGAGGCATTATATATCCAAAGGAAAGAAAATAAGTATATAAAAGAGATATCTTTACTCTCATGTTTTCTTGCAGCACTATTCACAGTAGCCAAGATCTGAAATCAACCTGTGTCCATCAATGAATGAATGGATAAGGAAATTGTTATATATATATATATACAATGAATATTATTAAAATAATTTTAAATAAAATAGTAGAACCCTGTCATTTTTAGCAACATGGATGGAACATGAAGACATTATGTTAAGTGAAAAAAGTCAGGCACAGAAAGACAAATACTGCATATTCTCATTCATAAGCAGAAACTAGGAAAGTGGATCTAATAAAGACAGAGAGTAAATGGGGTTATCAGAGGCTGTGAAGAAAAGGAAAGTGATAAAGAGAAATTGGTTAATGAATACAAAAATACAGTTAGGAGTAAGTCCTATTGTTGGATAGTACAATAGAAAATTATGGTTAACAATAATTTCTTGTATATTTCAAAATAGCTAGAAGAGAAGAATTGCAGTGTTCCTGACACAAATAAAAGGTAAATATCTGAAGTGATGAATATCACACTTACCCTGATTTAATTATATGTATTGTATACAGATATCAAATTATCACATGTACCACAAAAATATGTACAGTTATGATGTATAATTTTTTTTTTTTTTTGAGATAGAGTCTCACTCTGTCGCCCAGGCTGGAGTGCAGTGGCGCGATCTCGGCTCACTGCAAGCTCTGCCTCCCGGGTTCAGGCCATTCTCCTGCCTCAGCCTCCCGAGAGCTGGGACTAAAGGCGCCTGCCACCATGCCTGGCTAAGTTTTTGTATTTTTAGTAGAAACGGGGTTTCACCGTGTTAGCCAGGATGGTCTCGATCTCCTGACCTCGTTATCCACCCGCCTCAACCTCCCAAAGTGCTGGCTTTACAGGTGTGAGCCACTGCACCCCGCCATAAAATTTTTTAAGAATAAAAAAACCCCACAAAAATATGTACAGTTATGACGGATAAATTTTTTAAACAGTAAAAACATAAAGAAACCCAAATTTTTATCTTATAGCTCTGGTGCTCAGAAGTTCAAAATGTATCTTACTGGGCTAAAATCAATATGCTGGTGGAGAAGTGCTATTTCTCGGGACTCTAGGGAAGAACCTCCTCACATTTTCTAGCATCTAGGGATTACTTACATTCCTTGGTTTCTGAGTCTTTCCTCCATCTACAAAACCAGCAATATTAGCATCTTTCTCCCATTTTTTTCTCTGTGTGTTTCTGTTGTCACATCTTTTTGACTCTTTTAGGGATATTTTTGATGACATTAGGACCACTGGGATATTGCAGGACAATGGCCTCATCCTAATGCCCTTAATTTAATCACATATATATTTAAAGTCACTTTTGCTATGTAAGGCATCATATTTATACATTCCAGGGATTAAGATGTGGATGGTTTAGGGAGGGAATTATTTTGTCTACCACAACTGATCTAGGAGGATCTCACTTGAGATTATTTGTTTCTGCTCCATATGTTTTTATCTTTTAGTAAGCTCTCCCAGACTTTTTCACATGATAGAGGTAGAGATTCCAACGGTAAGAACCTAAGCCCCAATGATCAAGTGCTTTTTAAGCCTCAGAATTGATAAAGTCTAACTGTCAAATCAAATCACAGAACCAACCCCAAAGTCAATATGGAAGAGAGTGTACAAGGACATGGTTATAGGGATATAGGGAGGAAAAAATAATTTGGCACAATTACTAAAAATTTAAAACAGTACAGTAATTTATATTGAGTTACTTTCTCTCAGAACTTTGATATGATTTCACTGTATTCTAGCTGTTAATGTTTTAAAGAAGTTGTAATTACAATTATTGTTTCTTTTTAGATACCCTTTCTTTCCAAATGCTTGGGTGTGCTGTGGTTTCTAGACCTGTAGTCCTGTCTTTATCAGTTCTAGAAAATTTTTCAGCCATTATCTTTTTAAATATTGCTTCCCCTTAAATTATTTCAGTTCTTTTTTTTAAAAAAGTGCTCTTTTATCTAAGTGAATAATTAGTGTTTACATTGTTATTATGTTTACATTGTTAGTTGTAGCACCAATTAGTGACTGTGATTACATTTGTTTTATTTTATGGCATTTTCATTTTTCTGGAATTATTAATAGCCTGATTTTCAATTGTGCCATTTCAATTTTGCAATTTGCAATCTACATATTAAAAACTCTTCCCCAGTTTTTTCTGATATCAAAGGCTTTTCTTGAGTCTCTCTTTCCTCTAGATTCTTTACTTCTAAAGCCCTTGGCCGCCTTGATCTAATCTAATTAATCAAATTTGCAACTTCTTTCTTTTGTCTCTGTGACTTTAAAGCCAAGTGTCAATTGAGACATGTTATTATGTTTTTGCCATAGTATAAAAATGTATATAAAGACTGTAATATGTTTAAGAGACATGAAAGAAAGCACATATGTATGTGAAAGAAAAATTTTCTGAGTCCTCTAGACATTTGTGTCTCTAATGCCTTCTTCTGACAAACTTAGACAATGCAGAAAGCTTTGAATGACTCTTCAAAGGCATAATAATGATACATTGGGCTTTGGGGACTTGGGGAAAGGGTTGGGAGTGGCAAGGGATAAAAGAATACACATTGGGTACAGTGTACACTGCTCGGGTGATGGGTGCATCAAAATCTCAGAAATCAACACTAAAGAATTTATTCATGAAACCAAACACCACCTGTTCCCCAAATGTCGGTTGAAATAAAAAGATTAAAATAAAAAAAAAATTATCGTCTAACAATTATCTTTAGAGAGGACCTGAAAGTCAAAAACAAGATGCTAAAAGAACCAATGAAGGACACAAAGAACTCTTGTAAATGAAAAAGATAGTTGTTAAAATAAAAATTGTAATGGCAGATTTTGATGATAAAGTTAAAGAAATCTCCCAAAGTACTAGAAAATATTAAAGAAAAATAAAAGACTTTATCAATCCAGGAGGTTCAACTTTCACCAGTAAGATTTCCAGAAGGAGAAAATATAGAGAAAAAAATTGTCAGAAAAACAAAAGAACATGTTCTAGATTGAAGGATCTCATGAGAGCTCTGCAGCATAGATGAGAGAAGACCTAAAACAAAGAGTACCATGAGATTCAAGAAGGTGAATGATAAAAAGAAGGACCGAAATACTTCCCATAACAATTAGAAGGAAGAGGTAGAATTTTAAAAAGGAAAATAATGGGTTAGAGCATCACACTTCTCAGCAGCAATTCTGGAAGCCAGCAGAATGACTTTAAAATTCTGATTGAACTATTATTTCCAACTTAAGATTCTATATCCAAATGAGCTGTCAATCAAGTGTGAGGACAAAGAAAAGATTACTATACATGCAAAGACTCATAAAGTGTACCTTCACAGTGTGTTCCTTCTTAGGGAATGACTGGAAGATGTGCTGCACCAAAACAAGTGAAAAAAACAAAAAATAAAAGGGAAAGCTACAGAATCCAGGAAACAAGAAATCCTACCTAAACAGTAATAGAGAAAAATTCTGAGGTGACAGCTGAGCCTTAGATCTCAAGACATACTCTTTGCTTTAGATCTTAACACTGTGTTTGTTGCATTCCAGAGATTTTGGTATGTTACATGCCTGTTACCATTTACTTTAAAGAATGTTTTGATTTCGGCTATAACTTCATTGTTTACTTAAAAGTCATTGAGGAACAAGTTTACTTTCCATGTAATTGTGTGGTTTTGAAAGAGCTCATTGGTATTGATTTCTATTCTTATTCCACTGTGGTCTAAAAGCATTCTTGATATGATTTTAATTCTTTTGAATTTATTGAGTTGCTTTATAGTCAAGCATGTGGTCAATCTTAGAATACATTCTGTGTTAAGATGAGGAGAATGTATATTCTGTGGTTGATGAGTGGATTATGTTGCAGATATCTACTAAATCCAGTTGGTCAAGTGTCAAATTTAAGTACAGAATTTCTTTGTTAGTTTTCTGCCTCAATAGTTTGTGTAGCTCACTCATTGTGGTGTTGAAGTCCTCCAGTATTATTGTGTGGCTAAGTTTTTTATAGGTTTAGAAGTACTTGTTCTACAAATCTGGGGGCTCCAATGTTGGATGTGTATACATTTAGGGTTATTAAGTCATCTTGCTTAACATTTTATCATTATGTAATGCCCTTATTTGTCCCTTTATATTGTTGTTGGTTTAAAGTCTGTTTTATCTTTCATAAGAATAGTGACCTCTGCTTTTTGTTGTTGTTGTTTTCTATTTGCATGATAAATCTTTCTCTATTTTTTTACTTGGAGCCTATGCATATTGTTACATGTGAGATGCGTCTCTTGAAGACAGCAGACAGTTGAGTCTTGCATTTAATCCAACTTGACACTCTGTGCCTTTTAATTGGGGTGTTTAGACTATTTACATTCAAAGTTATTATTGATATGTAAAGATTTTATCCTATCTTAAGGTTGTTAGGTGGTTTCTTTGTTGTCTGTATTGTGTAGTTGCTTCATAGGGTCTCCAGACTATGTATTTAAGCGTGTTTATGTGGTAGCAAGTATCATTCTTTTGTTTCCATGCTTAGAACTCCTTTAGGAATCTTTCATATGGCTGGTCTAGTGGAAACAAATTCCCTTAGCAGTTGCCTGTCTGAAAAAGATTTTGTTTCTCCTTCACTTATAAAGGTTAGTTTAGTGGAATATGAAATTCTTTATTGGATTTTCTTTTCTTTAAGAATGCTGAAAATAAGCCCCCACTCTCTTCTGGTCTGTGAAGTTTCTGCTGAGAAGTCTGTTTTTACACTAATAGGATTCCCCTTGTAAGGGATCTGATCATTATCTTTGGCTGCCTTTAAGATTTTTTCTTTCACATTGACCTTGAAAATTCTGATAACTATTTGCCTTTGTGGTGGTTGTCTTGTATAGTTTATCACAGGATTCTCTTAGTTTATTGAATTTGCATGTTGCTCTCTATAATGATTGGGAAAATTTTAGTGAACTGTATCCTCAAATATGTTTTCCAACTTGCTTACTCTTTCTCCTCCTCTCCCAAGAATGCCAATGCGTCATATATTTGGTTTCTTTACATAATCCTATATTTCTCAGAAGCTTTTCATCATTTTATAATTCTCTCCTTTTTTTTTGCTTTTGTCTGACTGGGTTGAGTTGAAGGACTTGTCTTTGTGCTCTGAAATTCTTTCCTTGGCTTTGTCTATTCTGTTGTTAAGTCTTTCATCTGTATTTGGAAATTCCTGTAGTGAATTCTTTAATTCAGGAAGTTCAGTTTGGTTCTTCCTGAAAATGGCTATGTCATCTTGCGACTATTGAATAATTTTACTCATTTTATTGGATTGGATTTCCATTTTATCTTTAATGTCGTTGAGCTTCCTTCCCATCCATATTCTGAATTCTGTGTCTGTCATTTCAGACATTTCAATCTGGTTGGGATTCTTTGCTGTGGAACTACTGAGAATATCTAGAGGTAAGAAAACTCTCTGACTTCTTGAATTGCTGAAGTTCTTTCACTGGTTCTTTCTCATCGGAGAAGCTGGTGTTCCTTTATCTCTTTGAAATTGCTGTCACTTAAATGAGGTTTTTTTTTTTGCTTATATATTATACTTTCCCCTTGGTTGTTTGACTATGGTGTATAGCATCTACAGTTGATTAGTTTCATTTCTGGGTGCTTTCTGAGGGCCAAAGCTCTGTATGAGTTCCACAGTTATGATTGACTTTCTACATTGGGTTTCACAGTGTGAAATGAATTTACTTTTGTTAGTAATGTTGTTCAGGCTGTGATCCAGTAGACGGTGCTTAAGAGTAAGGGTCGGCAGATAGGCTCATATACAATAGTGTTCTAGGGAGGGAGAGATGGGGATGTGCAAGAAATAACTCCCTCCCAAGTCTGTTCCTGGGCCTTGGGTAACCCCTTTTAATCACTGGTGCTGTGCTCATTTTCTCTTAGCTCCAAGGGGAGCCCTGGCAGCCTGCACTCCTCCTCCCTTAAGGGTGGCCAGAGCCAAAGTTTAGGTCACCAGGATTCCTGCAACTCAGGGACGCATTGGTTTTCTGAGCTTAGCAAAGACAAAGCAGGTTGTGGGGTATGTCTGCAGGTGATCTGGTGATATAGTGGGTCAAGGGTGGAGGGTCCTTGTGCAAAGGGATCCCAGTATCTAGCCTGATCAGCTAGTTTTGTCTCAAACCTTCTGCACTCAGATTGCTGGCATGTTCCGGGTGATCAGGACCATGGGGCTCCCTCAGGCAGAAACTGTGACTGGTCAACAAGCTCCACCTTTCCCTGACTGGTCTTGCAGACGGAGGGACATTTAGCTCCCACACCAGCACATGAATCCACACCTCACTCTTCTCTGTGTTCTAAGACTTGGGGTTCCCCCCCACACTTGAACTCTAGCCAAAAATCTCAGCTCAATAACTGTGGTTGGTGTGCTCAAACCCTAGGGGGTTGAAACTAGTCCTGTGGCTTTGTCCTCTGACCTCTTGGGGGCAAACACTGGCTGTACCAGGCTGTCGAACTGCTCTCCGGCTGCTGGCAAAACACTCAGACAGAATAGTGGAGGCTGTGCTGTGTGCATTCTCTTGTGGGAGCTGAAAGGCAGCTTGCTTTGTGATGGGCCAGTGAAAAAGGGGGGCATGCAGGTAAGTTGTGCCTTGATGCTGCAGGGAAGGCAGGCTTCCTCTCTCCCAGCCAAAAGTCAGGAGGGGCTATGCCCATTCAAAGCAAGATGGAGAACCTTTGGGGATGGGTACTTACAGTCACGTTTTGCTGCAGTTGCCCTGTGTGCCATATAATATTTTGGTTCTGTCCAAGTTTATTCTCTGCCTCTGCCTACTGTTCAGGCAGTTCCCTCTGTCAATTGAAATGTCTATGAGGGTTACAACATCTCTTGTAGCTAGGATTCCAGAGACTCACAGCAGGATTGTGATGTCACAGAGTTCCTTCATTTACCTCTTCCTTAGGGCCTGTTCAGGACCAAGAGCCTGGTCTGGTGACTCTATGTGGACTTCTCAGCTTCCTCCCTGTTTAATCTTGGAGTTGTGTTGTGTCTCTGTCAACTTTCAGTGTTTTCTCTAAAAGATTGGTTTGAACTGTAGTTGTTTACCCAAGATTTTGGTTTCTCTCAGTAAAAGAGGTGCTTTCCAGCTGCATCTAGTTGGCCATCTTGTCCCTTCCACCAAGAAATACTTTAGACAACCTAAATTTATCAATGTTTACTTGGGCAAAGCATAATTTATGAATGGGACAGCCTCCCAGACTGGAATATGTTCAGAGAATCTCCAGTGATATCTCATGGTTGAAAAATATTTGTGGATTAAGAAAGTGACATACAAGAACTGAAAGTGAGGTCCAGAAACAGCTGGATTGGATACAGCTTGGTGTTTTGCTTATTTCAACATGGGCTGAACAGTTGGTTGCCTTTGACTGGCCAAAACTCAAGGATTGGTACAAGAATAGGTGCAGTCTATTTTTAAACCCAGTTAGATTACAGTTCATTGTGTACACAGAAATCTCTAGGTTGAATTCAAAATAAGGTGGCAGATTTAGACTAAACTTAACAATTCTAAAGAGTAATCTTGAATACCTTTGTGTCAAAGCACCTCAAATTTGTAGATGACTGCTCTAGAAGAATTATTATTGAGAACAGAAGATATGATTAGGCAAATGTTTCTATAGCTTATGTGACATGAAAGATTAAGCTCAGTTTCTGGAAAAAAAGCCGAATATAAAGAGTCTTATGTGAGAAACAATGTAATGAAAAGCTTGATAATACATACTGATTAGTGAGTGATGTAGGAGGATGTAAAAGTAATTTTTAAGTTTGAAGACTGAAAACTGAAAAAAGATGGGTAACCATTAAAAAAAAATGAGTTATGGTTCATTAGATAATGGGCTCAATGTTTTGACATATTGAGAGTGAGATCATGATAGAACTTCAAAATGGAAATAGCCAACTATCAAATAGAAATATAAGAACAGTGTTCCAGGCCAGGCGCAGTGGCTCACACCTGTAATCTCAGCACCTTGGGAGGCCAAGGTGGGCAGATCACGAGGTCAGGAGACTGAGACCATCCTGACTAACACGGTGAAACCCCATCTCTACTAAAAATACAAAAAATTCACCGGGCGTGGTGGCGGGCACCTGTATTCCCAGCTACTTGGGAGGCTGAGGCAGAAGAGTGGTGTGAACCCGGGAGGCAGAGCTTACAGTAAACTGAGATCGCGCCACTGCAATCCAGCCTAAGCGACAGAGCAAGACTCTGTCTCAAAAAACAAAACAAAAAAAAGAACAGTGTTCCAGAGAAGTTTGAACTAAGTATACAAACTTCACATAGAAGTGATAATTAAGATAATGAAATTAAAAAATGATCTAAGGAGCAAAGTAAAATTAAATCAAGGGCAAAGCCTTATATTAAGGAGCAGCAGGAAAAAGGAGTTGTTAGAAAAGCAACAATAAGCCTAGTTGAAAAGATGAGAGGAAAAACAAGATAATAAAAGGTCACAAACTATAAAGTTTAAGAATATTTCAATAAAAAAGGGATCATTAGTCAACTACTGCAGGGAAATAAATTTTAATGACAACTACAAAATTAGTTTTATCATTTGGAAATCATTTCAAACAACAGTCTTAATAATGAGAAAGAGAAAGACATCAGATTACAATTAAATAAACATCAGGTCGAGGTTGCCAAAATAAAGGAAATAATTGTATAAAGTTTTAAAAAATGTTACACAAACGAGAAGCCAGAGGTAGGCAGAACTTGAT
Source organism: Homo sapiens (assembly GCF_000001405.40). NCBI lineage: Eukaryota > Metazoa > Chordata > Mammalia > Primates > Hominidae > Homo > Homo sapiens. The sequence continues at coordinate 5,927,652 of NC_000024.10, forward strand.
GTTTAAGGCTGCTTCTTAAGAGCAGGACTAAGAGCGTGGTAGTAAAGTTGATTGTTCCACCCACTGAAATCTCAATAACAATTTGGAAATAGTTGGTCCTGAGATTACTCAGACAGAAGGATCTCAATTGTAAGAGATTTAAGGAGTGGTCAGCCCTTCTTTAGAATCTTTTTTTTTTTTTTTTTTCAGGAAAATAAAAGGATTAAATCCCGAGTCCCCAGCCCAGCCCCAAGACTGAACTACTGAGCAATTCTCCAGCTCCAGTGAAGATAGGGTATAAGTAAGTCAAAAACAAAAAACAAAAAACAAAAAACAGCAGGGTGACCAGTAGGTGAACAAGAGACGTGGCAGGACTCTAGTCCTGGAATAAAAACTAGACAGAAAGAATAACCTGTCAAAATTAAGAAATATAAACTAAGACAAAAACCCACATCTGGTGAATGAAATGTTAGGGCTCAGAAGTCAATACTCCAAAATATGGTACATTGACGTTCTGAAGAAACTTCGATGTCTCTATGATTTTCTTCCCCTGCATACTCTCTCTCCCAAATCCTTCAGATTTTTTTTCTTAAGATCCAGATCCACCAAGGAGAACATTTTTTCTTCCTTCTCTATAAAGCCAAGAGTATAATTACATCTTAACAAACCCTTTCACAAGATAATGTACAAGTTATTTGTTCCCTGATCTAATTATTCTTCCTAGTGATCCCCTTAACAGATTCTCTTCTCCCACCTTTCATAACCTTTTTTTGCAGGATGGTATATAAGTTTCTGAACTCCACTGGAGAGTGAGAAATCACTCTGTGATGCTCCCCATCTGCACAATAAATGTGAATGCCTTTTCTCCTATTAATCTACCTTATGTCAGTGATTTTCAGCAAACATTCAGAGAGCAAGAGGAAAGTCTCTCTTGGCCTCTATGAAATGAACATGCAGATGCATAGTATATCTGTGAACCCAGGGAAGCACATTCTGAAGGGTCTCTCTCCAGTGAAGCAGATTCTAGACTGTCTGGCAGTAAGATTTTTGGGGGAACTCAATATATAGCTATTACTACCCATGTCACTAGAATTAGAGCTACAGTCTTTGCTGTAATGTATATATCATTTTGGATCAGCTAAGGACCAAGTTTTCAACTCATAGGTGTCCAGGTGGAAACAGCTGGCAAGGCAGAGGCTGAGAAATCAAGGCATGTCTTGACAGATGGGGTAAAGTTTTTATTTTGTTTTCCCAAAGATAATTAGAACATATGTACAACAGAAATGAAAAAAAAAAAAAGTTGAGTAGAAGACATTAAATATGTAAGAGAAAGGACAAAATTTGTGGAGGGAAGTAATGAATTGAGTTGAGAAAATAAACTGGTAGTTGCTTTTTCCTTAACAGAATAAAAGTTATTTATACAGTGAAGAAATGTTATTTTTTTTTAAAATCAGGTACCAGTCTAGGTGCATATTATAGATTGGTAATCAGTAAATACAAGGATATGACTTTATGAAGCTTAAAATCTAGTAGAGGAGACACAAATATATATATATGTAATGTATATATATTACATATATATACACTTAATTATTTATAACATTACTAAATCTTGCCCCAATACTAGCTCAGCACTTTAGCCCTCCATTTTGAACCAAGAGGAAATTCTCTAGAGCTAAGTTAATGTAGCTTAATAGAGCAAAGCAAGGCATTGAAAATGACTAGATTAGTTTATGTGACTCATAAAGTATATATAAATGGTGATATATATATATATATATATATATATATATATATATATATATTGATAAGACTTCTGTAGAAAAGAACCGAATGTTGTGAAAAAGAATTTGGAAAAGGGGAGAGATTAGACAGCCAATTTAGATCAGGTTGTAAAGGAAGACCAGCTTTAAGAGGTTTCATTGGAGCTAAGATCTTAATAAGTTAGCTGAATAAGGTGCTGACCAGCTGGAAAAGCCTTTCAAGTAGAAATAACAGGAAAATAAGACGCTCAGAAGAGGTAATAAATTTAGCATATGGAGGGTCATAAAGTGGCTGGAGCATATCGTGTGAGGGAGAAAGTAGCAGAAAGTATGGGGGAGTCAGTAAAAGTTCAGATCATGCAGGGTTTTACAGGTTTTAATAAAGAGTTTGAATATTAAATTCTAAGTGTAAAGGGAGAAGACACTGGAGGATTTGAATGAGACAGTGAAATTTTCTAATTTACATTTTTAAAAGATTATTCTCATTTCTGTATGAACAGCATAATTAGGTGGACAGGGGAACTGGGTGCAAACAAAAACAAAAACAAAAACAAAAACAAACAAAAAAGATAAGGCTATTTTAATATTCAGCCAAGAGATGGGGGTGGCCTATCCTAGGCTGGTGATGGTGGGGAGAAAGAGAAATGGAGAAGTGGGATATTCTTTGTAAGTAGAAATTTCAAAACTTTGATGAATTAGATGTGTGTGAAGACTGGAAGAAAGATGTCCAAAAAGAAATTAGATTTCTAGTTCAGGCATTTACTTGATGTCTTGATTATGTTAAATAATAGGGTTAAAAAGGAAAACCAATGTAATCAATGTAATCAATGGCAGATGGGAATCAAGTGATAGAAATGACAATTTATTTAATCTACTGATATATGATGAGGTTAAAATTGAGTAGTAGATTAGAATGACCTATGCTTGGGTAGTTTTCTGTTTATCATTATTCAAACATAACTAAAAAATAATGCATATAAAATAGAGGATTCTAGTTTTGGATTTTTGTCATGAATCAAAATTGAAACTTTTGAAACTCAATTGTGTTGAAGTAGGTAGGCAGATTTTAAAATACTATCTACTATAGGAATTCTTAAAATGCAAACCTACTTTATTAAATGGATTTAAACACCATGTTGCCTGCCATAAGATTGTTTGGAAAGACTAAATGATTTAATTGGAAGCATCAATTAAAATAAAACATATTACTTTATATGTTAAACACTATATATATATGTACAGAATTTAAGGATTTGACCTAGTTTTTCTCCAGAGGGTCACGTTTTTGTTACAACAAGAATGTGTCTCTAAGCACCATCTTTACAATACAAAAGAACCATCTTTTACAAAAATTTTGATTAACTGTGGCATTTCCTTTCTGCTGTGAATAAAGCTGGCTATTGAATAAATTGTGAAGTACCAAAACCTCACCTTACAAATTTCTCTAATCCATTTAACTTCTTTCTTTCTACACATTTCCTGGGAATTTAATATTCTATTTATCCCTCTGGCTCTTCTTCCTCTATAGCAATTGTGGCATCCTATGCAAGACTTACATCCTCTGCACTCCTATGTTATGAATATTTTCTTTTCTATATGACCTAAAGATGATATAACCAAGCAATTCTACTTCTAGGTATATGCTCAAAAGGTTTACATACTGGTACTCAAAAAATTACTTGTACACAAATACTCATAGTAGCATTATTCAAAATAGACAAAAGTTAAAAACAACCTGAATGTCCATGGGCAGTTAATGAATAAACAAATTGTGATATATATGAAAATATCCAACCATAAAAAGGAATGAAACAGTGATACACTGTATAACCTGAAAAACATTTATGCTAAGTGAAATATGCCAGACAGAATAGATCAGATACTGTATGATTTTATTTACTTCTTCACACCCCTATCAAAACTGATTCATAGATGACATGATTCTATGTATGGAAAATCCCACAGGATCCACCAAAACCTGATAGACCTAATAATGAATTTAGCAAAGCTTCTGGGTAAAAACCAACATATAAAAATCAGCTGTCTTTTTATACACTAATAATAAACAATCTGAAAAGGAAATAATGGAAATAATTCCATCTATAATAGTGTCCAAAAAAGTTAAGTATTTAGGAATAAATTCAACCAAATATGTGAACAGCGCATACACTGAAAACTACAAAACATTAATAAACTAAAGAATACATAAATAAATGGAAAGACATTTCATGTTTATGGATTAGAAGACTTACTTTTGTTAAAACGGCAATGCTAACTTCAAGCAATCTATAGACTCAATGCAATCATAAAAATTCTAAGAGCCTTTCTGCAGAAACGGAAAACACAATTCTTGAATTCATATGAAATTGCAAAGAGCCTTGAATATTAAAACACTCACAAAGTAGAGGAACGAAGTTGAAGGACTATTATTTTCACATTTTATAACTTACTACAAAACTACAGTAATTAAACAGTATGGTCCTAGCATAAGAACAGACATATGCACTGATGGAACAGGATTGAGAGTCCAGGAATAATCACATGTATGTATGGTCAATTGATTTTCAACAAGGATGCCAAGATCATTCAACAGGTAAAGAATAGTTTCCTCCAAAAAATGGTGCTGTGACAAATAGATATTCACATACAAAATAATAAAGTTGCAGCTTTATACAAAATTATACAAAAATATATAAATTATGTATATATACATATACAAAAATGTACTTAAAATTTTATCAAAGACTTAATGATAAGAGCTAAACTCTAAAACTCTTAGGAAAAAAAGCGTTTTCCTGACCTTCATGACCTTGGATTTGGCAACGGATTCTGAGATCTGACATCAAGAGTACAACCAACAGAAGAAAAAATAGATAAATTGGAGTTTGTTAAAATGAAAACGTTTTTCATGTTAAAGGACATTATCCAGGAAGAGAAAGACAACTTACGGAATGGGAGAAAATATTTGCAAATCACATATCTGATAAGAATCTAGTATCCAGATTTTATAAAGAACGCCTTCTACTCAATAACAAAATGAAAAACACTCCCATTCAACTCTTAGAAGTCTTTAACAACAATAACAACATGGAAAACAATCTCATACAACCAGCCCACGGACTTGAATTGATGTTCCTCTAGAGATGTGCAAATGACACTTGAAAAGATGCTAAACATTATTAGTCATTAGGTCACTGCAAACCAAAATCACAGTGAGATACCACTTCACTCCCACTTACACGGCAATTTTTAAAAATCAGAAAAATAACTAGCATTGTCAAGGATACGGAGAAATTGCAAGCCTTTTACGTTACTTATGAGAATGTAAAATTGGTCAGTTGCTGTAGAAAATGTTGACAGTTCTGATACAGGAGATAGAAATTATTTAGGCAGATAGTGAGAGCAAAAGATTCTTTGGCAGAACTTCCCTTCTAACAAAATGCAACCCAAGAAATCATTTTATTTCTAACAAAGAGCAGCCTGAAATACTGAACTGCAAATATAGATAAGGAAGCTCGAAGTTTGCACGGGGAAATGCCAGCAGCTACGCCAATAGAAAAGGGCAACCTGGGGGCCAGGCATGTCCACCCTGGAAGCTCCGTTTTCTTTTTTTTTCGTTAGCACTTGTACAGTAAGAAAGAAATGGGCAACATGGAGCAGCTCAGGTAGAAAACCCACCTGAATAATACAGAGATTCATGCCATATGCAGATGGCAAACCTGGTTCTGTTTTTTCGTGCCCTGTGTAGATCAGACACCATCTCCCCACCAGCTCATCTATAAAAGCTCCTTCATTTCACTGCAGGTCAGCAACCCATTTTTCTGGGACCCCTCTCTATAACAGAAAGCAATTATCTTTCTTTCACCTATCCAATTTCCCCCTTAACTTCACTATTTGTGTGTCCACATCCTTGATATCTGTGGCTGAGACAAGAAACCTCGGGTGTCACCCCAGACAACAAGGCCATTTCATTGTGGGGGATCACCTGAGACCCAAGGTAGATTCATAAAAAGAAAGAGTATAGGAGCAGTTCTTTAAAAAGTTAAACATAGAATTACTATATAATCCAGCAATTCCACTTCAAGGTATACACTCAAAAGAATAGAATACTAGTACTAAAATAAATACTTGCACACAAATATTCATAGTAGCACTAGTCACAATTGACAAAAGCTGGACACACCCAAATGTCTATAAGTAGCTTAATGGACAAATAAATGGTGTTATATACATAAAATGGAAAATACTTAGCTATAAAAAGGAATAAAGTACCTATATATGCTATAACCTGAAAAATGTTTTTTGTTAAGACACAAAAGGTCATATATTATATGATCCAATTTATATATAATTTGTGAATAGGCAAATTCACAGAAATGAAAAGTAGATTGATGGTTTTCAAAGGCTGGGGGAAAGTGAGAGTGGAGAATAACTGCTTACTGAGTATGTGATATTATTTTGGGGTGATGAAAATGTTTAGAACTAGATAGAGGTGATTGCACAACATTGTTAATATAATTAATGGTACTGAATTATTTATTTTTAAGCAGCTAATTTTATTGTATGAGAAATTTGCCTCAATTGAAAATAACTGGCTCTGTCTCATTTTTTAAAATCTAACAAATCTGAAGTTTACATTTAATGGCTTAATGTTCTACTCCCTGTTGGATAATATATGCAATCTGATAGAGGGAGGTAATAATGCTTTAACACAAAGAATTGGTTAATGGTGAACATTTCTGGCAGGGCAAGTTAGATAAATATGGGTTATGGAGGTAGTCAAACCTCAATTAATTCAAGTGTAAATGTGTTTTTTCTTACAGAACAATTTTTGTACATTGGTAATAGTGCTACTTCATGATTTTTGCATTTTTATGATTCAAATTTTAAAATCCTAATTATATATATAGTTAAAATGTAGTGCTCAGATGAGGCTTATTGAACAATTAGGGCTTTATTTCTGAAAGCGTGTGGTCTTAAGTGCTAGTACTTTTGAATCCCATGTCTTTAGAAATATTATTATGTATACATATTTTTAAATGATTTGTCTTTTGCAGTAGGAGAGCACCTTGTGTCACCAGTGGAGACTGTCCAGGTTCTTGGCACCTTGAATAAAGAATTGGACAAACCACACAAAGCAAGGAAGGAATGAAGGGGTTTATTGAAAATAAATGTACACTCCACAGTGTGGGAGCGGGCTCAAGCATAGGGGATCAAGGGCCCCATTACAGTATTTTGGGGAGTTGCAACACCTTCTAGAGGATTCCATCGGTTACTTCGGGTATGCCCTTTGTAAATGGAGAGGATGAAGTAAAGTTACAAAGTCATTTACTTGGCCTACGCCCTATGGAGAGGATATTTCTTGTCATAGCTGAAGTGTGAATCGGCCTTATGTTCCCTGCCTCCAGACCCTATTTTCCTGCCTCATCTGCCCCGAGAGATGTGATCCTCATACATTTTTATGGGAGGCACAGGGACCAATGGTCTTTTTTCTGTAACTGCTTTATGCTGGCTTGAGGCACAGTCCCTACCTACTGGGGATCACAAAACTGTCATTCTGCTGTGTCTAGTAGAGGCAAGGTAGCTCCTTGATGGCCAGGGGTGGTGTCTTCACTTGGAACTGGCTGGACCCTTTGTTGCATGATCATCTAAAGCTTGATGCTTTCTAGGTGAGAGGAAATGAATTTGGTTAAAAGATTTAATGGGAACTTCATGGGGTGGATACTTCTGCTGTCAGGAATGTTTGTTATAGAGAATTGCAAGAGAAAAAACAAAACCTGGTTTGTTCTAGAATCTATGTGTTTCCTTAAAGTCTTAGCACAAGTCACTCCATTTGGTTTGGTTTGGACTATTGGGGCCTAGTGCATGAGATTACTTCAAAACAATGGCCTCCCAGAATTTTGTTTAAAAAATTCCACCTTTTTGGTTAGGTTCTCACTTAGGTGAGAGTTTAACCAAAACTTAGGGCCTTAGCACCACTTAGTCAACATCATTTTGGGTTTCTGGTTTCAGCACATTAGGTTATGGTGTCCTCATGGTTGCACATTTCTTTCAGCTCCTGTTATTCCAGCTTAAGAGAGACCATACGACATTCTAGAGATGACTGCATGCAAGCATTTAAAACCTTTGAGATAATACAGCACACCAGGGACACTATTATTATGACTATTGGGAGGATAATACCAACAGTTTGGACTATGCTCCTTACCCAATGTCCCCATAAACCAAACTTCCTAAAATCAAATAGATCAAAGACTGACTTAACTAAGCAGTTTCTTCATTAATCCACTACCACTGAATTTCTATAATTCTCATTTGATGTATTCCTTTATAGGTCACAAGTTCCAGAAGCTGCACAGATACTTTTCTGTTCAGCCAATCCCATTATAAGTTTCACAATAGAATTTAAAGTCTTGTGAAATTGTAGCCTTTACAGTATTATTTGCTATAGAGCCTATCATGGGGGATACATTTCTAGTTATTGCCTCTTTCACTATGGAAAAAGGAAGTAACAGACAATGCCCTTCTAGAAGAATGAAGACCTCCTGGCAATGCTCTTTTTAACCCCTGATGTGGGTCAACAGGGGTGAACCAATGTTTTATTTTTGACTGATTATGAGGCAACACATGTACCATTAAAGTTTCGTACCTATGTTGGGTCTTTATCTTTGATTTTTCATAGTATAAGTTTATCCATGTTTAAGGCTGGCTGCAAACCCCTTCCCAAATAAAAATATACCCCATAAGTGGCCATAACAGACCCCTTTTTCACTTCTATTCCTCATAGAGGCAGAAGCAAGGAAAAAATATTCAAAGAGCTTCATGATAGTAGAAGTCTTAATCTGTAAACTTGGGGAAAGCTGTTTACATAAAGGATGCCATCTTTTTCTTGGGAGAAATTTCCCTGGTTAGTTTTATCTTAAGGGTTCCAAAGGGTGTACAGCTCCAAGAGTGTGGAGGGACCCTTCTCAACTGCAAGACCATGAACCCAAAGCCCAGGGTCCCAAAGTTTTGTTGTAGTGTGCGTAGCAAGGACAGTTTTTTCCTGATGTTTCCAGAATATTCAAACTATAAAAGCTTTCTTTACCTGATGAAAATACACTGTAGCATAATAATCTTCTCTTATAACATCAGCCCTCTTGCATGGGAAAGCTTTTATACAACCAGAAAAGATGCATTAAAAGTAACAATTGAATGAAATCCCTTTATAAAGTGTTTAAATGGCCTACCAGGTAACCAAGTGTAACTGCAGCTTTAATTGTTTTTCCAGAAATATGGGGCCAAACATTGGTTATAAACTATTCTAGTAATTTGTAAGATACCACACCTATGTATTCAATTTGGATTATTTTATATTTTTCATGATGAATTATGGAATGCAGAACTGTTAATAATAAAAGCTTTAAGGGCTCAGGAAGGACAAGAAGGCCATCCTGGTTCTCCACGAACCCATGCTTAATTAACATTAGACTTATATCCTCTTGAATACCAGTTGTATTTCCAAATTTGGTGCATAGCACTGACAAGGAAATTCGGTTATTTCTGTGATTTACAATAACTTAACATAATAACCATAATTATAATTGACAGTATATATTTAGATATTAGAATTTTAGCAATCTCATACAATTTTGGAACATATATTAGTATTAGTCACAAAAATATGACCCAAACAATATTAAGCATCATTTTGACAATCTCGTGTAACTAAACACGTTAAATAATCCTGTTTATCTCCTTTCTGGATGTTTTAAGGGGCCCTCTGATTCATCCTAAAAGCCAGCCACCAAGAAAGACAATTTTGGAACTGAAGTTTGATTTTGGAATTTCAGATTACCATAAATTATTTATTTTGCCAAAATGATGACTTAGGGATTTAAATAAGTAAAAACTTTTTTATAATCTTTAACCCCCCACAAAAAATCCAAATTCTACTGTTTTTACACATTTTGCATGTAAAGCTGTGTCTAGTAGTGTTAATTGCATGTTACAATGGCAAATTTTAATATAAATCCTGGTAAGTTGTGTTCTGATAAGGTTTGACTATCTCCAGCACAGCTAGGAATGTGGCCAACTCCACATGTCCCCAGGCCTTACCTAGCTGGAAAGCAGACAAGTTAAACAATTTTCAAAAGCCAAACAAGCAGCTTATGACCTTAACGCATTTAGCAAACCTAACATTTGAACATAATTTAGACCACATGTTTACATTATGAAGACATTTGTATTTTACCAGTAATCTTTAAAACTATCTTTATTTCCCAAAGATCACTCAAGTTACATGAACTAAATAAAAGGCATTATATTTTTCACTTTTCTGACAAAATATTTAAGATCTTATTATTAAGCCAATTAATTTAAAACTTTACAGAGGAAATAAACAGTGACTTTTACTTTATGTTAGGCAAAGAGAGAAATATGACTTAAATTGTATCTAGGAGCGTATACTCAACACACTTAAAGTATCAGGAAGCCTAAAATCCAAAAAGTTAGTTTAAGGTTAAAAGGCTGGTGTGCTCTATCAATTCCTCTCGGCCCATCAAAGGTAGCCTAGGAATTCCAAATAAATGGAAGAAATGATGACTTGCTAGAAATGCATAGGAAACAAAATAACTATTCACAGAAACAAAAGCCTTCCACTAGAAACTAAAACAAAAATGTTTTTTTTATATATGCAAACACAAGCAAAGCCAGAGAAGAATAAACAGTGAACAAATGAAAACTAGAAGTAAACCGTCTGGGAAGTGAGGAGCGCCTCTGCCCGGCCCCCACACCGTGTAGGAAGTGAAGAGGCCTCTGCCCGGGCCGCAATGTCTGGGAAGCTAGGAACGCCTCTGCCCAGCGGCCTCACCATCTGAGAAGTGAGGAGCGCCTCTGCCCAGACGCCCCACCATCTGGGAAGTGAGGAGCCTCTCTGCCCGGCCGCCCCATCGTCTGGAAAGTGAGGAGCCCCTCTGCCCGGCTGCCCCACTGTCTGGGAAGTGGGGAGCACATCTGCCCGGCCGTCCCACCATCTGGGAAGTGAGGTGACCCTCTGCCCGGCCGCCGCCCCGACTGGGACGTGAGAAGCGCCTCTGCCTGGATGCCCTACCGTCTGTGAAGTGAGGAGCGCCTCTGCCTGGCTGCCACACCTTCTGGGAAGTGAGGAGCGCCTCTGCCCTGTGGCGGTCCTGCCTGGGAAGTGAGATGCGCCTCTGCCCTGTGGCGGTCCTGCCTGGGAAGTGAGATGCGCCTCTGCCTGGCGGCCACACTTGACTAATGCCTCTGCACCACTGCGCCACCGTCTGGGAAGTAAGGAGCGCCTCTCCCTGGCCGCCCCACCGTCTGAGAAGTGAGGAGCGCCGTTGCCCGGCCGCCGCTGTGCAACCCTCCAAGTATGAAGTGGCAGTCATGTGTGTGATCTTTATGCCCTCCCCAAGTTTGCATTTTTGACATTAAAGTTTACTTTTAAATTAAAAAGAGAAAGACAACTAGAAGCAAAAACAAACAGAAAACCAACCCTAAATTTTCCCACTTAATTTACCCTGGAGGCTACAGTGTTACCTAGGGCCAAAAAAACCCCACATAATGAATGTTTTATTCCTGATACACAATTCAATATCCTTAAGCTCACTAATATTATCATACATCTTTTGCAATCAATAAATTTACCTTAGGCACATGACTGATCAGTACTCCAGTGCCAGCGCTGTCCATGCAACACAATAAACATAGTGTGAAGCAATGCAAGCATGTATGTGAAATTTGGCTCCACATTAACTCCAGCTTCATGCTTAACTATGTAAAAAAGGAATAGCCAAACTGCCGATGCATTTCTTTACAATTCTTCTTATTTAACTTTAATCAAGACTAAGAGCTTTAACTATGAAAATGTTAATTAGCCAAATGTCTTCAATTATCAGGTTTTAAGAAATATTTTATTATTGAAACTTTTTTCACATCTTTCTCTCCTATTTAATGATTCCTTATTGCATTGTTTTATAAATAACCTTTTCGAATCTGTAAATTAAACTAACTTTTAGATAACTTCTGAATTAGAAAAAATTATTCTTTTTTCCACTAATAACATAAACTTTCTGGCACATTTTGTATACAGAATTACCAGTTAACTAAATTTTTTATCTTTGGTAACCTAAAGCTTTAGTGAAACCCTAAAAAGCAAGAAATCCTGAGCTATCAGATATGGGCATTTATAGATAAAAACAATTCCACAATTTTAGAAACATATTTCCCAATATCACAACCCTTTCTTAATTGGAAATGACCCAAATATTAAGTGAGCATTAAAATAAGTTTAAGATTTTAATTTACAAGAAAAGTTTATCTAAAACATTTATCCCATTCGCTGTACTTAATTTTTACTTTTAAGGAGGGAGACACAAGACATCAATCGGCATATGTAAAATGAACATCACATTGGTCTGGAAAGGCAGGAGAACTTGAGGCAGGTTGGGGGAATGGGGGCTTTCAGATTCAGGTAGTTGGAAGACAAAAAGTTGCATTCTTTTGAGTTTCTGATTAGCCTTTCCAAAGGAAGCAATCAGATCTGCACTCATCTCAGTGAGACTTTGAATAGAATGGGAGGCAGGCTTGCCCCAAGCAACTCCCAGCTTGAATTAACAATGACATTTTAAAATATCTAGCGAAGACAAACATAAAATTCAGACAAAATGTATGCTGACAATTCTAAAGGCATTTCTATTTTTATTCCACCAATAATTTTAAAGCTGTCTTGTTTAGTAAAGTTATACTTTAAGTCATGTGAACTTGAAAATAGCTTAGACTTACTTAATTTATGAGCGCTCATTTACTTACAAGCCAATTTGGTAGACACAACATATAACAATAAGTGTACATACAAATAAACACATCTAAACATATATATATATACACACATAAACAAAGATCTAATAGCTTGGGACCTTAGCCATGAGACAGCAATACAATACTTCGCCAGTTTTACTTTGCCCCAATAGATAATCCATTGAAGGCTGTGAATCAAAATTTCAGATAAAGCAGTCTCCATGGCAGTTTGATTTTTTTTCTTTCTTTTTTTTTTTTTGGAGACAGAGTCTTGCTCTGTTGCCCAGAACAGAGTGTAGTGGCTCAATCTCTGCTCACTGCAACCTCCGCCTCCCGGGTTCAAGTGATTCTCCTGCCTCTGCCTCCTGAGTAGCTGGATTACAGGCGTGCGCCACCGTGCCTGGGTAATTTTTTGTATTTTTTTAGTAGAGATGGGGTTTCATTATGTTGGTCAGGCTGGTCTCGAACTCTTGACCTCGTGATCTGCCTGCCTCAGCCTCCCAAAGTGCTGGGATTACAGGTGTGGACGCCACGCCCAGCAGGTAGTTTGATTTTTAAAGGCCAAACCTCCCCAGATTCCAAAAAGCACTGAGGCCAAACAGTACCAAAGGAGGGCATCACATATTAAACAGGCCTTCTGCTTAGAACAGCAGCACAAAAGCCTGGATACATGCAACACCATCCCACTTTCTGATTAGACAGCAAAGTTCAGATTCTGAACAATTTTGGAGCCAAGCATCATTGCAAGTGAGAGAGAAAATTCTAAAGAGGGCTTAATACTAGACCTCAGAACCTCTGCAGAGTGTCCCTTTGGGCAGGTTGAGGTCTGCAGGATTACCTGGAGCATTCTCCAGATGTCTCTGCCTTTAGGTGGGCACCGGTGCCACTTTGCATGCGTTCCCTCCGGAGCCTACTGTCAGGCCTCTGAGCCCAAGCCAAGCCATTGCATCCCCTGTGACTTGCACGCATACGCCCAGATGGCCTGAAGTAACTGAAGAATCACAAAGGAAGTGAATATGCCCTGCCCCACCTTAATTGATGACATTCCACCACAAAAGAAGTGTAAATGGCCGGTCCTTGCCTTAACTGATGACATTACCTTGTGAAAGTCCTTTTCCTGGCTCATCCTGGCTCAAAAAGCACCCCCACTGAGCACCTTGCGACCCCCACTCCTGCCCGCCAAGGAACAACCCCCTTTGACTGTAATTTTCCTTTACCTACCCAAATCCTATAAAACGGCCCCACCCTTATCTCCCTTTGCTGACTCTCTTTTTGGACTCAGCCCACCTGCACCCAGGTGAAATAAACAGCCATGTTGCTCACACAAAGCCTGTTTGGTGGTCTCTTCACACGGACGCGCATGAAATTTGGTGCCGTGACTCGGATCGGGGGACCTCCCTGGGGAGATCAATCCCCTGTCCTCCTGCTCTTTGCTCCGTGAGAAAGATCCACCTAGGACCTCAGGTCCTCAGACCGACCAGCCCAAGAAACATCTCACCAATTTCAAATCCGGTAAGCAGCCTCTTTTTACTCTCTTCTCCAACCTCCTTCACTATCCCTCAACCTCTTTCTCCTTTCAATCTTGGTGCCGCACTTCAATCTCTCTCTTCTCTTAATTTCAATTCCTTTCATTTTCTGGTAGAGACAAAGGAGACACGTTTTATCCATGGACCCAAAACTCCGGCACCGGTCACGGACTGGGAAGGCAGCCTTCCCTTGGTGTTTAATCATTGCAGGGATGCCTCTCTGATTATACACTCACATTTCAAGGGTGTCAGACCACGCAGGGACGCCTGCCTTAGTCCTTCACCCTTAGCGGCAAGTCCCGCTTTCCTGGGGAAGGGGCAAATACCCCTCAACCCCTTCTCTCCTTGTCTCTACCCCTTCTGTGCTTTTCTGGGGCAGGGGCAAATACCCCTCAACCCCCTCTCCTTCACCCTTAGCGGCAAGCCCTGCTTTCCTGGGGCAGGGGCAAGTACCCCTCAACCCCTTCTCCTTCACCCTTAGCAGCAAGTCCTGCTTTCCTAGGCAGCAAGAACCCCCCAATCGCTTATTTCCACGCCCCAAGCTCTTATCTCTGTGCCCCAATCCCTTATTTCCGCACCCTGACCTCTTATCTCTGTGCCCCAATCCCTTATTTCTGTGCCCCAACTCCTTCTCTGCTTTTCTGGAGGGCAAGAACCCCCCACCCCTTCTCCGTGTCTCTACTCTTTTCTCTGGGCTTGCCTCCTTCACTATGGGTAAGCTTCCACCTTCCATTCCTCCTTCTTCTCCCTTAGCCTATATTCTTAAGAACTTAAAACCTCTTCAACTCACACCTGACCTAAAACCTAAATGCCTTATTTTCTTCTGCAATGCCGCTTGACCCCAATACAAACTCGACAGTAGTTCTAAATAGCCAGAAAATGGCACTTTGAATTTTTCCATCCTGCAAAATCTAAATAATTCTTGTCGTAAAATAGGCAAACGGTCTGAGGTGCCTGATGTCCAGGCATTCTTTTACACATCAGTCCCTTCCTAGTCTCTGTGCCCACTGCAACTCATCCCAAATCTTCCTTCTTTCCCTCCCACCTGTCCCCTCAGTACCAACCCCAAGCGTCTCTGAGTCTTTCTCATCTTCCTTTTCTATAGACCCATCTGACCTCTCCCTTCCTCCCCAGGCTGCTCCTCGCCAGGCTGAGCTAGGTCCCAATTCTTCCTCAGCCTCCGCTCCTCCACCCAATAATCCTTTTATCACCTCCCCTCCTCACACCTGGTCCTGCTTACAGTTTCGTCCTGTGACTAGCCCTCCCCCACCTGCCCAGCAATTTACTCTTAAAAAGGTGGCTGGAGCTAAAGGCAGAGTCAAGGTTAATGCTCCTTTTTCTTTATCCCAAATCAGATAGCGTTTAGGCTCTTTTTCATCAAATATAAAAATCCAGCCCAGTTCATGGCTCGTTCGGCAGCAACCCTGAGACACTTTACAGCCCTAGACCCTAAAAGGTCAAAAGGCCATCTTATTCTCAATATACATTTTATTACTCAATCTGCTCCCGACATTAAATAAAACTCCAAAAACTGGAATCTGGCCCTCAAACCCCACAACAGGACTTAATTAACCTCACCTTCAAGGTGTGCAATAACATAAAAAAGTTGCAACTCCTTGCCTCCACTGTGAGACAAACCCCAGCCACATCTCCAGCACACAAGAACTTCCAAATGCCTGAACTGCAGTGGCCAGGCATTCCTCCAGAACCTCCTCCCCTAGGAGCTTGCTACACGTGCCAGAAATCTGGCCACTGGGCCAAGGAATGCCTGCAGCCCAGGATTCCTCCTAAGCTGCATCCCATCTGTGTGGGACCCCACTGAAAATCGGACTGTTCAACTCACCTGGCAGCCACTCCCAGAGCCCCTGGAACTCTGGCCCAAGGCTCTCTGACTGACTCCTTCCCAGATCTTCTCGGCTTAGCAGCTGAAGACTGACACTGCTCGATTGCCTCGGAAGCCCCCTAGACCATCACGGACGCCGAGCTTTAGGTAACTTTCACAGTGGAGGGTAAGTCTGTCCCCTTCTTAATCAATACAGAGGCTACCCACTCCACATTACCTTCTTTTCAAGGGCCTGTTTCCCTTGCCTCCATAACTGTTGTGGGTATTGACAGCCAGGCTTCTAAACCTCTTAAAACTCCCCAACTCTGGCGCCAACTTAGACAATACTCTTTTATGCACTCTTTTTTAGTTATCCCCATCTGCCCAGTTCCCTTATTAGGCTGAGATATTTTAACCAAATTATCTGCTTCCCTGACTATTCCTGCACTATAGCCGCATCTCATTGCTGCCCTTCTTCCCAATCCAAAGCCTCCTTTGCGTCCTCCTCTTGTATTCCCCCACCTTAACCCAGAAGTATAAGATACCTCTACTCCCTCCTTGGCGACCGATCACGCACCCCTTACCATCTCATTAAAACCTAATCACCCTTACGCCGCTCAACACCAATATCCCATCCCACAGCATGCTTTAAAAGGATTAAAGCCTGTTATCACTCACCTGCTACAGCATGGGCTTCTAAAACCTATAAACTCTCTTTGCCATTCCCCCATTTTACCTGTCCTAAAACCAGACAAGCCTTACAAGTTAGTTCAGAATCTGCGCTTTATCAACCAAATTGTTTTGCCTATCCACCCCATGGTGCCAAACCCATATACTCTCCTATCCTCAATAGCTCCCTCTACTACCCATTATTCTGTTCTGGATCTCAAACCTGCTTTCTTTACTATTCCTTTGCACCCTTCATCCCAGCCTCTCTTTGTCTTCACTTAGACTGACCCTGACACCCATTAGGCTCAGCAAATTACCTGGGCTGTACTGACGCAAGGCTTCACAGACAGCCCCCATTACTTCAGTCAAGCCCAAATTTCATCCTCATCTGTTACCTATTCGGCATAATTCTCATAAAAACACACGTGCTCTCCCTGCTGATCGTGTCCGATTAATCTCCCAAACCTCAATCCCTTACAAAAGAATAACTGCTTTCCTTCCTAGGCATGGTTAGTGTGGTCAGAATTCTTACACAAGAGCCAGGACCACACTGTGTAGCCTTTCTGTCCAAACAACTTGACCTTACTGTTTTAGCCTAGCCCTCATGTCTGCGTGCAGCGGCTGCCACTGCTTTAATACTGTTAGAGGCCCTAAAAATCACAAACTATGCTCAACTCACTCTCTACATTTCCCATAACTTCCAAAATCTATTTTCTTCAGAATTCAGGCCTGTCCTCAGAATGCTACAAGGTACAGCCAATTTAAGCTCCTGTATAGACGTTCCTTTTTATTAGGCCCCAGTCTCATTCAACACCAGACCAACTTAGACTGTGCCCCAAAAAAACTTGTCATCCCTACCATCTTTTGTCTAGTCATACTCCTATTCACCGTTCTCAACTACTCATACATGCCCTGCTCTTGTTTACACTGCCGGTTTACACTGTTTCTCCAAGCCATCACAGCTGATATCTCCTGGTGCTATCCCCAAACTGCCACTCTAAACTCTTGAAGTAAATAAATAATCTTTACTGGTAGGACTATGCTGAATCTCCTCAGGCACTATACCTGTTTTTCTCCTTCTGTTATTCCATTTAGTTTTTCAATTCATACAAAACCGTATCCAGGCCATCACCAATCATTCTATACAACAAATGTTTCTTCTAACATCCCCACGATATCACCCCTTACCACAAGATCTCCTTTCAGCTTAATCTCTCCCACTCTAGGTTCCCACACCGCCCCTAATCCCGCTCGAAGCAGCCCTGAGAAACATCGTCCACTCTCTCTCCATACCACCCCCCAAAAATTTTCGCCGCCCCAACACTTCAACACTATTTTGTTTTATTTCTCTTATTAATATAAGAAGGCAGAAATGTCAGGCCTCTGAGCCCAAGTCAAGCCATCGCATCCCCTGTGACTTGCACGTATAAGCCCAGATGGCCTGAAGTAACTGAAGAATCACAAAAGAAGTGAATATGCCCTGCCCCACCTTAACTGATGACATTCCACCACAACAGAAGTGTAAATGCCAGTCCTTGCCTTAACTGATGACGTTACCTTGTGAAATTCCTTCTCCTGGCTCATCCTGGCTCAAAAAGCACCCCCACTGAGCACCTTGCGACCCCCACTCCGGCCCACCAGAGAACAAACCCCCTTTGACTGTAATTTTCCTTTACCTACCCAAATCCTATAAAACGGCCCCACCCCTATCTCCCTTTGCTGACTCTCTTTTCGGACTCAGCCCACCTGCACGCAGGTGAAATAAACAGCCATGTTGCTCACACAAAGCCTGTTTGGTGGTCTCTTCACACGGACGCGCATGAAACCTACTATGAGCTTTCCTTTGGTACCTGGGTGTAATCCCCAAGTTTTAGCATCCTTATAATTTGATAAGGCCATGCTTTCCCAGACCTCCTGTTCCATGAACTTTAATGACAGGAACTGGGGACTGGGTGGGTTTCCTTTGCCCTTAGTCAGTTGAATAGGGGAAGGGAAGAATTTAGCATAAGTACAGAAGGTTTAAGTCACCTGAAACATATGCAAGTTTTCTCCGGGGTGCACAGCACACAGAGATCAGGGACCACAGCCAGAAAAGAATTTTAAAAACAGTCTAGGGCAATTATTCCTATTCATTTACAGGCCTTCGGGCAATACCAGGGAGTGACCCCAGCCAGTTGCCCTCAATTTCCAAGGAGCCACTAAGAAACAGCCACTGAAAGACTGAAAAAGAAAGGAAAAAAAAAAAAAAAAAACTGGAAAAAGTCCCAGCTCCTTTAAGCGAATTTAGTGGTGGCAGTTAGCTTCTTCCAGATGGAAACCACTTAGTTTCCCTGGCCACAGACAGAAACCTGCAGTTGCTGCTGAGTTTAGGCGCTGCCCACCAATGGTCCTGAGATGGAAAGGAAAGTAGTAACAGATTCCCCTGTATGAAGCAGAAAGGAAAGGGAGAAAAATGAATCCCAAACTTTGGGCTTACCTTTTCCTCCTGGCTAGCTTGCCAAAATATTTCACTGGTGGACAGTGTCCAGGTTCTTGGCATATTGAACAAAGGATCGGATAAAACACACAAACAATGCAAGGAAAAATGAAGGGATTTATTGAAAATGAAAGTACACTCCACGGTGTGGGAGCAGACCTGCACATAGGGGCTCAAGGGCCTCATTACAGAATTTTTGGGAGTTGAAATACCCTCTAGCAGATTCCACTGGTTACTTCAAGTATGCCCTATGTAAATGGAGAGGATGAAGCAAAGTTACAAAGTCACTTACTTGGCCTATGCCTATGAGGAGGATATTTCCTGTCATAGCTGAAGAGTGAATTGGCCTTATGTTCCCTGCCTTCATACCCTATTTTCCTGCCTCACTAGGACTTTAGCAGCAGGCACATTGACAAGTAGGCCATCTATCATCCTACCATTTAAAAAATATTTTTTTGGTCTAGTGCTTCTATAAATAGAGCACTTTAAATTGAAATATCTATATCTGATTTAAAGCTGTAAAAAATCATTTCTCCTTTATGACAATTTTGGGTAAGTACTATCAAAATAATGAAACTCGGCTGGGTGCAGTGGCTCACACCTGTAATCCCAGCACTTTGGGAGGCCAAGGCGGGCAGATCATGAGGTCAGGAGATTGAGACCATCCTGGCTAACACGGTGAAACCCCTTCTCTACTAAAAATACAAAAAAATTAGCCGGGCGAGGTGGCGGGTGCCTGAAGTCCCAGCTACTTGGGAGGCTGAGGCAGGAGAATGGCGTGAACAACGGGGGGGCGGAGCCAGCAGTGAGCCGAGATTGCGCCACTGCACCACTCCAGCCTGGGCGACAGGGAGACTCCATCTCAAAAAAAAAAAAAAAAAAAAAATGAAACTTTCCTTTAGAGTAACTTCTCCCCTCCTCAAAGATGAATAAAGATTTCTTCCTTTTCTTTCCAAGCAGATGCAACATACACAGTTACAGTAGTGTTAGAGTGTGTTAGAACTAAATTGTGTCATAAAACTTTATACTGCACTGGTGTCATAAATGTCAAATGGGTACCACTGAGGACTAAGCTCTGCTTTTTTTTATCTTGCCCAAATTCCCATCTAAAGCGCCTGGGAGTCATGCTGTACAAACCATAAACTCTCATGATATGGGTTTTATTTGACCCTATATGTCGTGACTTACTTTCCAATCTGATTGGCATAACATTATATGACAAAAAAGGAAATAAAAATATTTTACCCCAAAACATGTTTCTTTGCCATATTTTGAAATGGCCCTGCAAAGCAGTCCTTTGTGGGAGAACATTTACACCTGTAAAGAATCTCTAATTCATAGTTAGAATTTTTTATTCCAGGCCCTCCCAATCCTGAAGAGATTAGCTGAGAGTCTAGCACCTTTTAAAGGTCTGAATAAGAAACACTTGTCATCTACTGTCTCTAAGAGCAGCCACTCTGAGACTTCAAAAGAAACTTGATCTACACAATCTTTTATCTTAACCTTAACATTTCCTTTCTATTCATCCCAGGTCTTTAAACAAACTCAACCAATTGTCAACAAAAAATTTTTAAATTTACCTATAGCCTGGAAGCCCCCTGTTTTGAATTGTCCCACCTTTCTGGACCAAAGCAATGTATTTTTCAAATGTATTTGATTGATGGCTCATGCCTCCCTAAAATGTATAAAACCAAGCAGTGCCTCAACCACCTTGGGTACATGTTCTCAGGACCTCCTGAGGGCTGTATCATGGGCCATGATCACTCATATTTGTCTCAGAATAAATCTCTTCAAATATTTTAGTTTGACTCTTGTAATTGACATGCAACATATTCTAAAAGACTGCAATGAAATACCAAGCAATAAGCAAACCCAAGAATCAAAATTGATACTTCAAAATGTTTCAACAGTCAAAGAATATAACTTAGGAAGAAAACATCCTTCAATTATTACACCAAAAAAGAAAAAAAGGAGATAGGTATTTAAAAGCAGTTTCTCATCATTTTTTTACTGTCAAAATGAGGGTGTGATATTTCAAGCAAATGACTAAACTTGAAAACAGTTGTTCAGTAAGAAAAATTTTGCTTGCTAGAGAAAAGAGAAATAACTAAAATAATTTCTGTAAAAGAATTTTACTTCCCAAGTTTCCATATATATCATTCTATCTATAATATACTAATATTTATAAATTAATACCTTCAACAGTTTTAAAAACATAAGGTGTTTGTGTCATTGGACAATTTCTATTACTATTGCTATCACTAGTGATTTTGGGAGGTATTTCAGATTTACAGTAATTTGGTAAGTGTGTTAGGTTCATGATTAGTTACAAGAACAATTATATTCTGTTTGAGATCAGTAGAGAAATTAATGCTTAAATGGACAAGAAACTTCATCTGTAATTTTTATACAAAATACATCTTATCAAGATTACTGGCTGCACAAACTAAGATGTTGTGAGGAGACTGTAGCACCAGTATTTCCATGTATGCAACATAATGGCAAATTTATAAAGTCTTTGCTAGTGATGATAGTTCTTTATCTTCCAGAGAAAATGTTACAGAAATTCATAAGGAATTTCAGAAAATGAATTCCCAAGAGAAGTTTCTCACAATGCTTTTTACATATCACCAGAAATACTGACTAGCCTGGACTTCCACATAATCATTGGGTCATCTTCCTTCATTCCTTTTCCCACACCTTGAAAACTGAAATCACAAAAGGAGTCCTTTGAATTCCAGAATAAAGAGGTGTTATACTGAGAGTATTTCTGGTTTTGGCTATCCATCATTCTTTGTCTTCTTCAAGTAATAGTACCTTTATTTCCTTTTATAGGATTTCTTTTACCTCTCAGTCTTTAAGGGATAGTGAGTCAGATTTTCCATTCTTTTTTTAGCTACTTTGTGGTAAAAACATTCCAAGCTTGGCCAAGGATGTTGGCTGACGCCTATAATATCAACACTTTCTGAGGCTGAGTCTAGGAGTTTAAGAGCAGCCTTGGCAACAAAGTGAGACTACCATCTCTACAGGAAGAAAATGAGTTGTGTGTGGTGGCACATGCCTGTGGTCCCAGCTACACTGGAGGCTGAGGCAGGATGATCACCTGAGCCCAGAAGGTCAAGGCTACAATGAGCCATGACAGCACCACTGCACTCCAGCCTGGGTGACAGAGTGAGACTCTTATCTCAGAAACAAACAAACAAAAAAATCCAAGCTTAAACAATTAGAGCCTCCCTTGAGCAGAGTGAAAAAGGAATAATAAAAATAGTTAGATTTAATTCATCCCAGCAGAAGCAGCATAGTATACCTGCTATGTAGATCACCAGAATTGCCCTTTTTGTGTCTAGTAATTCAGCTCTTCTTTTGAGTCTGAGGACTATACATCATTCACATAGGAAGATAGATAGATAGACAGATAGATAGATAGATAGATAGATAGATAGATAGATAGATAGATTTTTCTATTGCTTGAGTTATTCAAAGTCAATTTCTTTTTGCTTGCAAACAAAGGGACTAATTGTCAAAATGAATTATCATATTGCCCTGGCAAGGTCCTTGTCAGTGTTAAAACAAGATAAGGAATGTAAAACACTAGCATGGCGTGTGTCTAAAAAGTGTCTAATAATAATAGCATTACTATTTATAATAGTTAACAAGAATTGAAGCTGACAGTACTGAGCACTTCACATGCATTATTTCACTTAATCCTCACTATGGATCTGTGGAGTAGATTCCAATTATCTCCATTTTATAGGTTAAAAAAAAGTCCAGAGAATGAGAAGCCCAAGCTAATGCAGCTGGTAAGTAGAGAGGCTGGGATTTGACACCTGGCAAACTTCAAATACACACATTTAAGCATTGCATTCTGAAGGGTAGGTGGAGCAAGATGGCAAAATCAAAGTCTCCATCTATAGTCTCCCAGAAGGACACCAATTTAACAACTATCTACATAGGAAAAACACCTTCAAAAGAACCAAATTTCATGTGAGCCCTCATGGTATCTGGTTTTAACTTCCTATCACTGAAAGAGGCAATAAAGAGATAGAAAATACAGTCCTGAATGACTGACACCACTCCTCCCCCAACCCCATGGAGCAGTGGTGTGGTGCTCAGAACTTCTCTGGGTGCTGGAGGAGGGAGAGCACAACAATTGTGAGACATTGAACTTAGTGCTCTGTGTTAGAGCAGAAAGGAAAACCAGACCAAAGTCAGCTGACAGCTGCCCACTGAGGAAGCATTTAAACCAACCCTAGCTAAAGGGAAATTGCAGATGCCAGCAGTCAAAACTTGGCCAACCCTGCCACCAAGGGCTACAGTGTTCTGTGTCTCCAAGTGAACTTGAAAAGCAGTCTAAGCCATAAGGACTGCAACTATGGCAAGTCCTTGTGCTGACCTAGGTCCAGAGACAGTGGAATTGGAGGAACATGTGACTTACTGAGGCACCAGCTGGGGCAGCTGAGGGAGTGCCGGTATTAGGCCCTCCCCTAACCCCAGGCTACACAGCTTGCAGCTCCAACAATGATCCCTTCTTTCAGCTCGAATAGAGGAAAGGGAAAAATGGGAAAGACGTTTTTTTGGGGGGCAGCGGGGATCTAGGATACCAGCTCAGCCACAGCAGAACAGGGCATTGGTCAGAATCAAGAGGCCCCCATTCTGGGCCCTTGTTCCCAGACATTTTTAGACACACCCTGGAACAGAAGGAAACCTGCTGCCTTTAAAGAAAGAACCCAGCCCTGGCAGCATTCATAGCCTGTTAACTGAAGAGCCCTTGGGCTCTGAATAACCAGCAGCGATATTACATCTTGGGCCTTGGGTGAGCCTCTGAGATTTGCTGGCATCATGTTAGACTCAGCACATTACCAAATGTGGTGGCTAGAGGGCAAAACTCCTTCTGCTTGAAAAAAGCTGAGAGAAAAGTAAAGATGACACTTTCTTGCAGCTTAAGAGCTAGTGCGGCCACAGGGGAGTAGAGCACTAATTAGGCTCTTGGGGTCCCAATTCCAGAATTTGACTCTTAGATGGCTTTTCTGCACATGCCCTGGGCCAGAGAGGTGGCCACTGCCCTGAATAGTGACTCCCAGGCTAGGCAGCATTCACTACTAGTCGACTTAAGATACCTTAGGCCTTAAGAGAACATTAGCAGTAGTCTGGCAATACCCCTCATGGTTTAGGGTGGCAGTGGCTATGGAGTGAGACTCCTCTGCCTCTGAAAAGGGGATGGAAGAGTGAGAAGAAATATGTTTTGTCTTTTGAGTGCCAGCTCAGCTGCAGTACAATAGAACACGAGGCAGACTTCTAATGTTTTTGGCTCTAGTCCCTGACTCCCCAGTGTCACCTGTGGACCCACACAGAGCCAGGGGAAACTCACTACACTGAAAGGAATGACACAGACCTAGCTAGCTTTGCCATTGGCTGATTGTAGGGCCCCTGGGACTTGAGAGCATATAGACAGTAGCTAGGGAGTACTTACTGCAGGCCTTGGGAGAGACTCACTGCTGTACTGGCTTCAGGTTTAACTCAGAGTAGTCATAGTAGTTGTGGCCACAGGTGCACTTGTGTCACTCTTCCACCAGCTTTATGTGGATCAGAACAATGATAGAGACTGTTTGAGAGAAAGTAAGGGAAGGAAGCAAGAGTCTCTTTCTTGTAAACCAGAGAATTCTCCCAGATCTTCCCAAGACCATCAAGGCAGTACCTCTACAAATCTGCAAAAACCACAATGTTACTGGGCTTAGGGTGTCCTCTAAAGCTGATAAAGCTTGGATCATAGCACACAAGTCCTACCAAGTATCTGGAAAGCCTTCCCCAGGAGGAGTACAAACAAGCCCAGAGAGTAAAGACTAAATAAATACCTAACTCTTCAAAAACCAGACACCAAAAAGCATCTACTAGCATCAACAGCATCCAGGAAAGTATGACCTCAACTAATTAACTAAATAAGGCACTAGGAACCAATCCTGTAGAAAAGGAGATGTGTGACTTTTCAGACAGAGAATTCAAAATAGCTGTGTTGAGGAAACTGAAATAAATTCAAAATATCACAGAGAAGAAATTCAGAATTCTATAAGATACATTTAACAAAAAGAAGAATAATTAAAATGAAACACAAATTCTGAAACTGAAAAATGCAATTGGCATACTGAAGAATGCATCAGAACTTTTTAATAGCAGAATTGATCAAGAAGAAGAAAGAATTAGTGAGCTTGAAGACAAGCAATTTGAGAACACAAGACCTGAGGAGATAAAAGAGAAAATAATAAAAAACTATGAAGTATGCTATTCAGAATCTAGAAAATAGCCTCAAATGGGCAAATTTAAGAGTTATTGGGTTTAAAGAAGAGGTAGAGAAAGAGACGGGTAAAATGTTTATTCAAGAGAAAAATAACATAGAACTTCCCACAGCAAGAAAAGATATCAAAATCTAAGTACAGGAAGCTTATAAAACACCAAGCAAATTTAACCAAAAGAAGACTACATAAAGGTTTTTAATAATCTAACTTCCAAAGATTAAAGATAAAATAAAAGGATCCTAAAAACAGCAAGAGAAAAGAAGCAAATAACATACAATGAAACTTTAATAATTCTGGCATCAGACTTTTCAATGAAAAACTTACAGACAAGGAGAGTGTGCCATGACAAATTTAAAGTGCTAAAAATCAAAAACCTCTTACCCTAGAATAATATACCCAGCAAAAATATCCTTCAAACATGGAGGAGAAATACTTTCCCAGACAAACAAAAGCTGAGAGATTTCACCAACACCAGACTTGTACTACAAGAAATGCTAAAGAGAGTACTTCAATCAGAAAGAAAAGTACATTAATGAGCAATAAATGTCTTGAAACCAATGACAATGGAGACACAACATACAAAGACCTATGGGATACAGTGAAAGTAGTAATAAGAGAAAACTTCTTACCCATAAGTGCCTACATCAAAAAAGAGGAAAGACTTCAAATACACAATCTAATGACACATCTTAAAGAACTAGGAAAGCAACAGCAAACCAAACCTAAAATTAGTAAAAGAAAAGAAAAAATAAAGATCGGAACAGAAATAAAGGAAATTGGAATGAAGAAAACAATACAAGAGATAATGAAACAAAAAGGTGGTTTATTGAAAAGTTAAACAAAGAGACAAATCTCTAGCCATACTAACTAAGAAAAAAAAGGGAGAATCCAAATAAAATAAGAAATGAAAAAGGGGAAATTATAACTGATACTGCAGAAATTCAAAGGATTATGAGTGGGTACTATGAGCAACTATATGCCAATAAATTGGAAAATCTAAAAGAAATGAACAAATTCCTAGACACATACAACCTACCAAGATTGAAACAGGAAAAGTCCAAAACCAGAACAGACTAATAACAAGTAATGAGATCAAAGCCATAATAAAAACACTTTCAGTAAAGAAAAGCCTGGGACCTTATGGTGTCACTGCAGTATTCTACCAAACATATAAATAAGTACTTACAGCAATCCTACTCAAACTATTTTGGAAAATATGGAAGGAAGGAATACTTCTAAACTCATTATAAGGGGTCAGTATTACCCTGATACCAAAACCAGACAAAGACACTTTCAAAAAAGAAAACTACAGGCCAATATCTCTGACAAATATTGATGCAAAAAATCTTCAAAAAAATACTGACAAACAAAATTTATGAAGAATTCAGAAAGATCATTCATCATGACCAAGTGAGATTTATTCCTGGGATACAATGGTGGTTCAACATAGGCAAATCAATCAATGTGATACATTATATCAACAGAATGAAGGACAAAAGCCATATGATTCTTTCAATTGATGCTGAAAGAGCATTTAATAAAATTCAACATCTTTTCATCATAAAAATTCTAAGAAAACTGGTTACAGATGGAACATACCTCAACATATTAAAAGCCATTTATGTGGGATCCATAGGTAGTATTATACAAAATGGGGAAAAATGAAAGCCTTTCCTCTAAGTTATGGACCACAACAAGGATGAACAGTTTCACAATTGTTACTCAGTACAGTGATGGAAGTCCTAGCTAGAACCATCAAAAAAAGAAAGATATAAAAGTCTTCCAAATTAGAAAGGAAGAAGTCAAATTATTCTTGTTTGCAGATGATGATTGTATGTTTGGAAAAATCTAAAGACTACAGAAGAAAACTATTAGAACTGATACATTCAGTAAATTTGTAAGATATAAAATGAAGGTACAAAAATCAGTAGCTTTTCTATATGCCAACAGTGAAAAGTGAAAAAGAAATAAAAAGTACTCCCATTTACAATAGCCACACATAAAATTAAATACATAGGAATTAACTTAATCAAGGAAGTGAAAGTTCTCTGTAATAAAAACTATAAAACACAGATGAAAAAAGTTGAAAAAGACATCAGAAATTGGAAAAATATTCCATGTTCATGGATTGATAGAATCAATATTGTTAAAATGTCTATACTAACAAAAGCAATATACAGACTCAGTGCAATCTCTATCAAAATACCAATGACATTCGTCACAGAAATAGAAAAAAAATCTTAAAATTCATGTGAGACCACCAAAGACCCAGAATAGCCAAAACAGTTCTATGTAAACAAAGCAAAACAAAACAAAAACTGGAGGAATCACATTATTTGACTTCAAATTATACTATAGAGCTACCAAATATCATGATAATGGTGTAAAAAAAGACTCACAGACCCACGAAATGGAGTGGGGAGCCCAGGAACAAATATGCACATCTTCACTGAACTCATTTTAAACAAAGGTGCCAAGCACATACACTGGTGAAAAGACAGTCTCTTCAACAAATGGTGCCAGGAAAACTGCATATCCATATGAAGAAGAATAAAACTAGAACCCTATCTCTTGCCATAAACAAAAATCAAATCTAAATGGATTAATTACTTAAATCTATGACCTTGAGCTATGTAACTGCTAAAAGAAAACATTGGAGAAACTTTCTATGACATTGGTGTGAGCAAAGAATTTATTGAGCAATACCCCACAAGCACAAGCAACCAAAGCAAAAATAGACAACTGGCGTCACATCAAGCTAAGAAACTTCTGCAAGCAAAAGAAACAATAACAAAGTGAAGAGACAACCCAGATAATGGGAGAAAACATTTGAAAACTACCCATCTGTATTAATCCATTTTCACACTGCTATAAAGAACTATCTGAGACTGGGTAATTTATGAAGAAAAGAGGTTTAATTTACTCACAAAACTGCAGGCTTAACAGGAAGCATGACTGGGAGGCCTCAGGAAATTGACAATTATGGCAGAAGGTGAAGGGGAAGCAAGCAGCTTCTTCACATGGCAGCAGGAGAGAGAGAGAGAGAGAGAAGCAGGAAGTGCCACACAGTTATGAACAATCAGGTGTCATAAGAATTCACTCACTATCATGAGAACAGCAAAGGGAAAATCCATCTCCATGATCCAATTTACTCCCATCAGACCCCTTCTCCAATTGAACATGAGATTTAGGTGGGGACACAAATTCAAACCACGTCATTCTGCCCAAGCCCCTCCCAAATTTCATATCCTTCTCCAATTGCAAAATACAATTATTCCTTCTTAACAGTACCCCAGTTTTAACTCATTTAAGCGTTAAATTAAAAGTCCACAGTCCAAAGTCTTATCTGAGACAAGGTGATTTCCCTCTGCCTATGAGCCTGTAAAATCAAAAACAAGTTACTTACTTCCAAGATACAACAGGGGTTGAGGCATTGGGCAAATGCTTTTATTCCAAAAAAGAAATTGGCCAAAACAAAGGAGATACAGGCCCCATTCAAGTCTGAAACCCAGCAGGGCAGTCATTAAATCTTAAAGCTCCAAAATGATCTCCTTTGATTCCATGTCTCACATTCAGGCCACACTGATGTAAGGGGTGGGCTCCCAAGACCTTGGGCAGCTCTGGCGCTGTAGCTTTTCAGGGTACAGCCCCTGTGGCTGCTTTCACAGCCTGGTGTTGAGTTCCTGTGACTTTTTGAGGCACACGGTACTAGCTGTTGGTGTGTCTACCATTCGGGAACCTGGAGGATGGTGTCCCTCTTCTCACAGCTCCACTAGATAGTGTCTCAATTGGGACTCTGTGTGTGGATTCCAATCCCACATTTCTCCTCCACACTGCCCTAGTAGAGGTTCTCCATGAGGAATCTGCCCCTGCAGCAGACTTCTGCCTGGACATTCAGGTGTCTCCATATATCCTCTGAAATCTAGGTGGAGGTTCCCAAACCCCAACTCTTGCCTTCTGCACACCTGCAGGGCCAATACCACATGGAAGCCTCCAAGACTTGGAGCTTGAACCCTCTGAAGCCATGGCCCGAGATGTACCTTGGCCTCTTTTAGCTGCCACTGGAGCTGGAGTAGCTTGGACACAGGATGCCATGTCTCAAGGCTGCACAGAGAGGCTGGGCCCTGTACCAGGCCCATTAATCCCTTTTTTCCTTCTAGGTCTCCAGGCCTATGATGAGAGGGGATGCTGTGAAGGTCTCTGAAATGCCCTGGAGACATTTTCCCCATTGTCTTGGCTATTAACATTCAGCTCCTACTTGCTTTTGCAAATTTCTGCAGCAGGCTTGAATTTCTCCCCAGAAAATGGGTTTTCTTTTCTACCACATGGCTGAGCTGCAAATTTTCCAAGCTTTAATGTTCTGCTTCCCTTTTAAACATAAATTCCAGTTTCAGATAATCTCTGTTCATGCATATGAGTGTACACTTTTAGAAACAGCCAGGTCATGTCTTGAATGCTTTGCTGCTTAGAAATTTCTTCCACCAGATACCCAAAATCATCTCTATAAAGTTCAAAGTTCCACAGATCTCTAGGGCAGGGACAAAATTCTACCAGTCTCTTTTCTAAAGTATAGCAAGAGTCACTTTTACTCCAGTTCCCAATAAGTTTCTCATCTCCATCTGATACCAATTCAGCCTGTACTTCATTGTCCATATCACTATCCGCATTTTGGTAAAAACCATTTAGCAAATCTCTAAAAAGTTCCAAACTTTCCCACATCTTTCTGTCTTCTTCTGAACACTCCAAACTGTTCCAACCTCTGCCTGTTACCCAGTTCCAAAGTTACTTCCACATTTTCAGGCATGTATATAGCAGTGCCCTACTCTTCTGGTACCAATTTTCTGTAATAGTCCATTTTCACAGTGCTATAAAGAACTAACTTGGACTAGGTAATATATGAAAAAAAGAGGTTTAGTTGACTCACGGTTCTGCAGGCTTAACAGGATGCATGAGTGGGAAGCCTCCAGAAACCTACAATCACAAAGGAAGGCGAAGAAGAAGCAAGCAGCTTCTTCACATGGAGGCAGGAGAGAAAGAGACAATGAAAGTGGAAGTGCCATACACTTTTAAACCATCAGATCTTGTGGGAACTCACTCATTATCACAATTTGCCACCATGAACCAATTACCTGCCACCAGGTTCTTCCTCCAATTTGACATGAGATTTTGGTGGGGACACAAATCCAAACCATATCACCATCCAACAGGGGATTAATAACCAGAATACATAATGAGCTTATACAACTTTATGGGAAAAAAATCTAATAATCTCATCAAAAACGGGCAAAAGATTTAAATAGACATTTCTCAAAAGGAGACATACGAATGGTAAACAGGTATATAAAAAGGTGTTCAATATCATGGATCATCAGTGAGATGCAAATCAAAATTACAATGAGATATCATCTCACCTTTTATCCAAAAGTCAGTCAATAACAAATGGTGGCAAAGATATGGAGAAAAGGGACCCTCATACACTGTTGGTAGAAACGTAAATTAGTACAACCACTATAGAAAATATTTTGGAAGTTTCTCAAAAACCTAAAAATACAGCTACCATATGATCCAGTAATCCCATGGCTGAGTATATACCCCCAAAAAAGGAAATCAGTATATCAAAGGGATATCTGTACTTTTATATTTGTTGCAGAACTGTTTACAATAGCTAAGATTTGGAAGCAACCTAAGTAAGTGTCCATCAACAGATGAATAAAGAAAATGTTGTACATATACACAATGGTGTACTATTAATTCATTGAAGAGATCTAGTCATTTGCAACAACATGGATGAAACTGGAGATCATTATGTTAATGAAATAAGCCAGACACACACAGAAAGGCAAACATCACATGTTCTCACTTATTTGTGATATATGAAAATCTAAACAATTGAACTCATAAACATTGAGAGTAGAAAGATGGTTACTCGAGGCTGGGAGGAGTAGTGGGGCACTGGCAGAAAGGTGGGGATGGTTAAGGGTACAAAATAAAATAGAAGAAATAAGACTTACTACTTGATAACACAACAGGGTGACTATAGTCAATAATAACTTAATTTTACATTTTGAAACAAAGAGTGTAATTGGATTGTTTATAACTCAAAAGATAAATTCTTGAGGGGACGAATATCCCATTTTTCATGACATGCTTATCTCAAATTTTATGCCTGTAACAGAACATCTCATGTTTCCCATAAGTATATACATCTACTCTGTATACACAAAAATTTAAAAAGAATATGTACATATACTCTCTGAATCCAAAATAAAAGTTGAAAAAGAAAAGAAATAAAGATTGTATTCTAATTTTGTTCCTCATTTTCTTATGTGGCATTGAAGAACTCTTAATTGCTGAATCTGTTGTTGACAGTGTAGTATTACCCTTACTGCCACGTGAGAAATGCTATACTCAGTACCTCTTTCTAACAAATAGCTTTGCCCAGTATTAAAGCATCACACTATTAATTAGTTCTCTGCTAGGTGTGGTGTTTCTTGATAGTTATTTGTTGCCTAACCTGTCCTATATCAACAACACTAATAGCAAATGATATTCCCAAAAACGTGTAGTTTCTTATCCTGTGTGCAAAGCAGGAGACATTTTAGTAACTGGATAAAACTGTGCCTTCACTACCAAATATATATTATTTCTGTTAAATAAAACAATCAGTATTTGATCTTTGGAATTATCATTATGTTTTTTGTGTAAATGGGAGTTTCATAGCTTTTATAAATGCAACATCTGCCTCAGTCTTGCTTAAGATTCTTCTAGGTTTCTTCCATAGCTACAGGCCTTTAAAAAATGATCCAAGTTTTTTATACTTCCTATGTAATAAAATTCTTTCGGATTAGTTGCTGAAGTAAACCAAATACAACATTACAAAAGCAGTAAGCAAGAAATTTTCCAATTGGCACCTTTAGTCTTTTTTCCTCTTATAGACTAGAATTCAGTGCTAACCAAGAAAAGCTATTTTTTTTGAGATAGCATCTAGTCACTCTATGCTCACAAAACAAATAGTCAACCAGGAAAAGATACTGCTAGGTCCACTGTGGAGGGGAAGGGGTGATAATTAAATGTCGTTTTGAGTTGCAATCAGCCATGTCTTTTCTCTGTTGTCCTAAGGAAATTGTCTGGTCAAGTGATTCTTAAGCACACATAAAACACACTGCATAAAGCTTGGACTTAAAGTCATTAGTAGAATTACCTCCCAAGACAAATGAGATTTCAAAATGCCTCCAGGTCGTTCTTTGTCTTCAGACATTATAAAAACATACTTAAAATTTTAAGTAGCTCATTATTTTAAATGGATCTTCCATCCTTTCCAGTCAAAATAAACTTTACCCTTCTAATTTTGGAGAAGTCTGTGTGTATCTCTGGGATAAAACAAGAGATAACAGGCGATAAAGAATGTATGTATTGGCCGGGCGCGGTGGCTCACGCCTGTAATCCCAGCACTTTGGGAGGCCGAGGCGAGTGGATCATGAGGTCAGGAGATCGAGACCATCCTGGCTAACAAGGTGAAACCCCGTCTCTACTAAAAATACAAAAAATTAGCCGGGCGCGGTGGCGGGCGCCTGTAGTCCCAGCTACTCGGGAGGCTGAGGCAGGAGAATGGCGTGAACCCGGGAAGCGGAGCTTGCAGTGAGCCGAGATTGCGCCACTGCAGTCCGCAGTCCGGCCTGGGCGACAGAGCGAGACTCCGTCTCAAAAAAAAAAAAAAAAAAAAAAAAAAAAAAAAAAAAAAGAATGTATGTATTGATGACTCAAAAATCTGCACACCTTATTTTGTAATTGAAATGTTTAAAAAATGTTTTAGATATGTTTAGTTTCAAAATGATAGGTTTTCTCATTATAGCTTCAGGGGTCCTGTTTAATTGGCAAAGTCCAGCCTCATGTTCTGAGGATCATGATGCTTTCATGTCCTTCATGTCTTTCATACACACACACAAACACACACACACACACACACACACACACACACACACACACACACAGTATATATATGTATAATAAATAAATATATATATTTCAATTTGTTTTTCAGAGCTTTTATGTGGTTTCTATTGAGTTATTGTATTTACAGTATCATAAAACATTTGGTGAAGTTTGATCTCAATCATAAACAAAAAATCTTATTTTTATTTTCAATGAGTGGTTATTGAATACCCACTGAGCAAGATTATGTGCTCAGTTCTGTTGGTACAAAATTGAATTGAACGATGATTCATACTCTGCCATAGCTTTGTAGTTAGTCGTTATCCTGGCTCAATGGTTTTCCTCACACTATTTGTATGCTGCCACTACAAATTATATTCTGAGGCTCCTTTTCTATCTCGTCTACATGATGGAGATATCAAACTTTCTCCTTGTGTTTTTTGTTTGTTTGACACTGTTTTGAATTTTACCTCCATAAATCACTGAAATACCAAGGTCTAAGTTAAAAAAAAAAAAATGAAAGTAGCAATCAGGAACCTAGGCTGTATTTGTAGTTCATTTTCTAATACACTGTACGAGTTTAGGTACATCTTAGCTGCTCATTTTCTTCATCTTCCTCATTGACCTCTCAAAACATTTACTGCATGGGTAAACAGAGACAATTACAGTATATATTTATTTATTTAGTTTGTTATATGAATTCTCTGAATCATAAGCAATTCTCTACAAGGACCTCAGCTCTGTGAAGTCTAGCTGAGAATTAGCCAAATACTAGCCATCTTATGGCTACTTAACATTCGTTGAATGGAACCCATACAGGCCTTTCCCAGGTTAATGATATTCTAGCATCTTTACAATGAATATATCACTTTATTTATCTCAGTCTTTTTTCCTTTTCTATTTTCACAAATTTATTGCCTTTTCTTTACCCTTCTGCTCTCTTTATTTTCTGATTCTTACTTTATCTTAGACTTGTTAGCGATATTGCTTAAATTCTTGCAGACACTCAGAGTTCAACAAATTTTTTAACCATCAGAGGTTTCTAGATTAAATACAAGATTTTGTTAAATTTGATTTTAAGAAACAATAAATAATTTGTAGTATAAGTTTGTCCCATATAATATCAGTAAAAGTATTTTATATAGTAAAATATTATTTATATGAATCTGTAATTTTATTGGGTATCATATATTTTTATTTGCTAAATCTAGAGTCCCTCGACCCCTCATTAGAACATTTTTTCTTATGTGGTTAAATACTATTATATACATTTATTATTTACTTTTCCCCAAAGTATTTTAATATTATTTCATAGTTGATAATATATGTTTTAAAAATATTACTTTATACTTATTTTACCATGATAATTTCATGTCTAAAACTGAATATGCTTCCTCCTTCATTTCTGACTTCAGGACTCAAACCCAAAGCTTCATCTTATTCCTTCTTTACTGTCATCTCTTACATGCAAAAAGTTGCAAAGTCATTTTAATTCTTCGTAATTTATCTTGAATTCATCCATCCAATCCCACATTTCTCACTACTGTTGTGCCTTGTGTAGCATATTATCAAAAGTGTGAAAAACATACTTTTCAAATTTTTACACGATTCATCTTAATTCATCTTATGAAAGGGCAATTAATGCTGCAGCATAAGGAAACTGATATTCTTTGACTGATAGAAACATTAATAAAATGATATAAAGTAGAAGTAAATGGAATGTTCTACAGCTGTCATTTTTTTAATCAGCTGCAAAAGTAGAATATGAGGAAAACCTTATTTGCCGTGGAATTTTGCATTGTCATTTTATTTTTCTTACATTAGTAATTATTAAAATTTTTTGAATACATACTATGTTTTACATACATTCTAATAATTGTCTCAGTCTTATGAGGTGATTACTAGCATTTTTTCTGTTTTATAGAAGAACCTGAAAATCAGAAAATTTAAAAAGCCATTCCAATTTCCTAGCACATTTTATAGAAACATTATTCATAGTAGCCAAAATCTGAAACAACTGAAATGTCCTATAACCACTTAATGGATAAGCTGGATTATATTCACACAATGGAATACTATACAGCAATAAAAAGTAGTTAACCACTGATACACAGAACAATTTGGATGAATATCAAAGGGGCTGAGTAAAAGAAACCAGTCTTCAAAGGTTACATATTGCATGACTCCATTTATATGACAGATTTGAAATGACAAAATTAGAGTGCTGAAGAACAGATCAGTGGTGTCCATTGGTTAGAGTTGGGGATAGAGTTTGATCATGAAGTAAGAGCATAAGGTAGTTTTGTTTTTTGAAGGATGGAAGTGTCCATATTCTGATGGTGGTGGCAGTTCCATAGATCTATATATGTCTTAAAATTTATAGAAATGTGCACTAAAAGAAAAATAAAATAAATTTTATTGGATAATAATTTTAATTTTTTTAAGTAAAAAAAATACACTGGTTTATTTTGGTATATATTTTAAAGTCAAGTTTCCAAACAAAACAAAATGCATTTTAATACAGGAGATTATAATGTAATGTTTGGTTTATAGGTATTTCTAGCAGAGATTGGATTTTATTTGTTGATTTAACTAAATGTATAGCACAGAGTTTATTTTGATATTTTTAACAACAAATTCAGAAACTTCCTAATTAGTCATATTTTTATACTCTAGAAAAAGAAAATACAGTAGCCATTAATATGGAAGTAAACGTGAAGGGTTAGGTGCTGGGATACACAATAATGCTAATGCTCTTTGCTCTTAAAGGGAAATAAAATAATATATAAAAATGAATTATGTGCATAAGTCCAAAAAAGATGTGGATAAACAGACTGGGGCATAGTCATATAAAAGTATACCACTCATCAACTGAAAGGAACAACCTACAGAAACACACTATATATTGACAGTTAGAAACCTGATGCTGAGTAAAAGATGCCAGCCTCAAGAGTTTGCACTGTCTGATTCCATTAATGTGAAATACAAGAACAAGCATAGCTGACCTATGGTCATAAAGATAAAAAAATAGTGACCCAGTTGGAGATGAGGTGGTAGATGTGAAAAGGGACAAGAGTTAACTTTCTGGGGCAATACAACTATTCTGTAACTTCTTGTGGAAGATGGTTACATGGTGTATACAATTGTCAGTATTCAAAACATGTAAGATCTGTGTATCTTTGTATGTAAATTATACTTTAATATATCACAATAGCATTTAATCATATAAGAAAATATTCAAAATACATTAAAGAATATAACAAGAGAATGTTAATAAAAAATAATTATATTCAATTTATATACTGCATCCAAACTGTAAAAAACAAGGATAATAATTTAAAAATTATGCACAACAGCAAAAGTTTGCACATTAAATGAGTCATTGAAGCCACACAATTTTAGACCACATTCTGGCTAATCCTCAATTTCTGTTTGTTTCTCTTCTTACTCCTTGGCTACACAAGAAAGTCACAAAATGTGTGGATTGAGTTCAATACAAAAGTCATATATATATATTTACAACTAAGAAATATTTACTGTTGACTCAAAGAGTATATAATGGCATTTCATTTAATTAGTTTTCTTTTTACTTAATATTAAGTCATTCCACACATTTTAATATGTCTAAAATACATTATTCCATATGCTTGAGCTCAGGCTCATCCCTAGAATTTGCAGGACAAAGGAAAAAGTACAAATGAAAGCTTCTAATCCATACCCTACTCAATTTCTCTTCTGACCTCTGGAACTATTTTCTACCCAGGAAACAAAGGTGTGGATTTTATTATCACTGCTGAGTCTATTGCAATCCCTCCATCTACTTTCCACCTTCATATAATAAAAATGTTGTTTCAGCAACATCCTGGTTTCATCAATTATGGGGTTTGTGTTTTCATTTTCTATTTTTTTTCTCTTATTTAGGAGTGATTCTCAGAAAATAAATATGCAGAAATCTCTTTATTCTGTCATCCTAAATCTAGATGTACCTTCATGACATTTTGTACCTCTTTCAAAAATGTGTATGCTCTTCTTGCATACAGCATTATTTTTTTGTGCAATTAGCTCCTTCAGTAGACTATAAGATCTGTGGAAACAGTTTGTCTCTTTGCTTACTCCTTTTTGTTCCCCCTAAACTATCTAATTTGGTGCCTTAACTACAGATGATCCTCAGTTTTCTATTGGGTTATGTCCCTATAAATCTGTTGTAAGTTGAAAATATCCTGAGTTACAAATGCATGTAATACACTTAACCTGCTGAACATCATAGTTTAGCCCAGTTTGCTTTAAACATGCTCAGAACACTTATATTAGACGGCAGTTTGGCAAAATAATCTGGCAACACAGCTTACTGTAGAGCATTGGTTTTTTACCCTTGAGATTTCATGGCTGTGTAGGAGATTCAGAGAGAGTTTCATACCATATATTGTTAGCCCAGAAAAAAAAAAATCAAAATTTGAAGTACGATTTCTACTAAATGTGTATTGTTTTCACACTATTATAAAGTTAAAAAATCTCAAATTGAACCATCATAAGTCAGGGATCGTCTGTATATGTTGCTTAATTCAACAAGCAAATACTTGTTCAATTAAATTAAATTAGGTTTTCAGTATTTTAGAAAAACAATATGTAAACTGCATTTACGGATATCCTGTCTTCGTTAACAGTATGAAATAACTTTTTTTTTCTTTTTTCTTGGAAATCCATAGCCACCCTAATGTAAAGCAATTGTTTCACTGGTGAGTATTATCTATTAGAAGTCATATTGTCTTTGGAAGTCAGACAGTCCTAGGTTCAAAAGCAGGATATTAACCTAAATTGGGAATTAGGAGGATTAATCAGATAAAAAGCACTGTGAAAGCATCTGATGTGTAGTTGTTGCTCAAGAAACCACTGTTATTGTTACCTCTATTATCATTTCCATGTTATTTTTATTCCCGTGTGCTAACACAATGCAACCCTTAGAGGTTTTTTGCACTGTGTAAACTGCTCCTAGAGTCGTGAGTCTTGTTGCTGATAACTTTTCTGTTTCTGTTTACTATCATTCCTCAGTATTTTAATTTCCAACATTGCAGCATAAAGGTAAACAATGCAGGCTCTCGAAGCAGATTTTCTGGCTTCTAATAATGACTCTAATCATTAATTGGGGTTTTGATCTTGAACAATATATTTATCCTTTGAATGCTTTAGATCTCTCAAGCGTAAACTGGGGATAGTCATAGATTTTATTTCATAGTCTTGCTTTAAGGATGAAATTAGTTATGTAGCACATTTAAAACTGTATCTGGAATGAAGTAAATATTGTATATAGGGTTAGTTATTATAGCAATTCTGATATGTGGTTGCTTCCAATGTTTTTTCAAGCAATAATATGTAAACAATGTAACTTTTAATTCTAAGCTCCTTTTGGCCCTGTAAGGTAGCTCTAGGAATTTCCTGGAGGAAATGTGCATAGACTCTACAGAAACCCTTGTTCTCATTTATTTATAGATTTTGGATGATAAGACCTACTAATAGTATGGCTTCTAAAAACATGGAATTATGATTGATTATTTACAAAGTGATTCTGCCAAAATAGGCTAAGTGAAAACATCTGGTGTGCCCCAAACCTGTGAAATTATTCCATATGGCTGAATCCTAGCCTTTGCATGAAGAAAAATAGAGAGAGTTATCTCACTTACCAATATATTCAGTAAAATACTGTGAGCTTTTGCTTGAAAGAAAAAGAAGAATAGCTATAGGTAATTTTATATCTAGATTTTTAAATTCAAGTAATATAGCTCTGTTTGTTTAACTACTTAAACACTGAAAGTAATCTCCTCCCTACTGCTTCTGCAGCTGTATTTGTTGACTGGGGAGAGACTAGGAGTCTATTATTATATTCATAATTAATTCATCTACAGTTGAGTAGACAGAGGGAATATGAAATGGGCTTAACTCGAGAATGGAGAATCCCCTCTCCCTGCTGTTTCAACCAACATCAAGTGTAATTTTATCAACATTGAATTTGGATCTCGTCTGTCCATAGGACCTAATCTTCAGTTACAATGAACATTTAATCTTGTTAGTCATTAAATTCTACCATGATTTATTACTTGGCTAATATTCTTGATGAGTTTCAGTTGCTAATTGCATCCCTACAGTTCATAAAATTTGTAAATGCATTCCTCTACTTCTGCAAATCCTTCATATCTCTACGTTAGCAAACAGTATAAATTGTTGAGGCTGTAGCAGTAGAAAAAGCATTTTCTCCTTCAAATATGACATGTGTTGTATTACCTGGATGTGCAGTATTGTCAGGGGTGTAGTTTTTGACCTGCAATGCATTACTTGCTTGACTGAGTTTGTGACTGTTTATCACTAATGACGTATTTCTCTCCAGGAATGTATAATTTATCTTGTCACTGCTTTAACGTAGTAAATACTGATATGAACCTGGAATTTTCCAGCAACTTGTGAAAGAAATGAAAGCAACTATTTGAAGTTTTATTTCATCCCAGCAAAGACAACCTTTATCATGGATTTCCAATGTATGTGAAGAAACACTAACCTAGAATACAAAAGGGTATGTCGAGAGCTTTGTGCATACAAAGTACCCATCTTACTAGTTATGCCTAGTGCTCATAAAATGCAATAATAATGAGCAGGTTGTTTTTCAAACCAAGAAAAGGGCCTTTTGCAGACAGGGAGTTTTTTATTATACATTTAAAAAAAATTGTAAATCATATCCATCTAGGATTTCTTGTAAGAAATCAATATATTTCTATCTTAATAATTTTGTCAATAGTACATCCAAATATAAATAAATGTTAGTGTGCTTTGTACATAGTATACTAGTCCTATTTCCCCTTTCTTTCTAGTAAGGAGAAATATTCACTTTTTAATGATTCGTCAATTCAGATTCACAAAACTGAATTCAATTTTGAGAAAAAAATTTGCTTAATCTCTACAACCCTATCATCCCTTTCACTATTCTCAGTGGAACTTAGACTAACAAATGAAGGCTATCTGATGGCTTACGATCATTTTTCTTGAGGCTGCAGTTTAAACCATTGATAATTTTCCAGGGCCATCACTCTTTTTTTGGGGGGGGGGGGAAGGGTTGATTACAAATCAGTGATGACAAGAGCATTCCTTCCTCTTTCACAACAGCCAGTTCTGTTTTCCCCCCTGTGATAGAGTAAGGAGATTGAGTCTTTCATTGTTTATTTAAAGGATCATTAATAACTCACTGTGTTCCTATTATATCATAGATAACTAAAATCTTCAGTCAATTCAAAACCTTGATTTTAACCACCTCTCCTGATAAACCTTTTGTTTATTTTTATTTTTATTTTTTCATTTTTCCATAAGTTATTAGGGTACAGGTGGTATTCGGTTACATGAGTAAGTTATTTAGCGGTGATTTGTGAGATTTTAGTACACCTATCACTCAAGCAGTATACATTGCATCATATTTGTAGTCTTTTGTCCCTAGACCCCCTCCCACCCTTCCCTCAACTACTTGAAGTCCATCATATCATTCCTATGTCTTTGTGTCCTCATAGCTTAGCACCCACACATCAGTGATAACATATGATGTTTAGTTTTCCATTTCTGAATTACTTCACTTAGAATAATATTCTCCAGTCTCATCCAGGTTGCTTCAAATGCTGTTAATTCATTCCTTTTTATGGCTGAGTAGTATTCCATCATATAAATATACCACAGTTTCTTTATCTACTCATTGATTGACAGGCATTTGGGTTGGTTCCATGATTTTGCAATTGCGAATTGTGCTGCTATAAACATGCATGTGCAAGTATCTTTTTTGGATGACTTCTTTTCCTCTGGATAGATACCCAGTAGTGGGATTGATGGATCAAATGGTAGTTCTACTTTAGTTCTTTAAGGAATATCCACACTGTTTTCCATAGCGGCTATATTAGTTTAATTCCCACCAGCAGTATAGAAGTGTTCCCTGATCACCACATCCATGCCGACATCTACTGTTTTTTGATTTTTTGATTATGGCCATTCTTGCAGGAGTAAGGTGGTATCACATTGTGGATTTGATTTCCATTTTCCTGATCATTAATGATGTTGAGTATTTTTTCATATGTTTGTTGGCCATTTGTATATCTTCTTTTGAGAACTGTCTATTGATGTCCTCCACTTTTTGATGGGATTGTTTGTATTTTTTCCTACTGATTTGTTTGAGTTCATTGTAGATTCTGGATATTAGTCCTTTGTCAGTTACATAAATTGTTAAGATTTTCTTTCACTCTGTGGGTTGTCTGTGTACTCTGCTGACTGTTCCTTTTGCCATGCAAAAGCTCTTTTGTTTAATTAAGTCCTAGCTATTTATCTTCGTTTTTATTGCATTTGCTTTTGGGTTCTTGGTCATGAAATCCTTGCCTAAGCCAATGTTTAGAAGGACTACCAAGAGCAATCTACAAATTCAACACAATCCCCATCAAAACACCACCATCATTCTTTTTTTCTTTTTTTTCCTTTTAGGCCTGCAAGTACCAATTAGTTGAAGTGCTTTATTTGTTATTTACAATTCATCTTTTTCTTTATTTACACATAGAACATATTTGGAATTATAAAATCTTACAAAATACATGGTTTTATTTAAGTAATATCTCTATACTTATGGACATCAAGAAAATTCACCACTGCTTCTTCCTTTGGATAATACTGTCATGGAATTTGGTATCACATATTCTTGTTTTAGAAGCAGTTTAGTATTAAACAAAAGAATCTCTACAAAAGCTCTTCAGTTGGACCAAATTTGTAACCATAAGTTTGCAGCTGTCATAATTGCAGTCCAAACTGCATTTACAATCTACCACAGTAATTATATATGTGAACATATAATCTTCTTCTTTCATTCTGTAACTTCACATGGGAGACAAAAATCATTATTCTCTTACTCAACACTTGAAGTTAATTTGTTTTACCAATTAAATACCTTAAAACAGGAAACATTTTTCTCAATGCTACTGGAATCCATGTTTTGCATCTCTTTCTTCTCCATGTAGATTCAATATCCAAGGATTGTTTAATAAAGAAGAGATTTATTTTAAACACATTATTCTATTTAAACTACTCTTTCAAATTCATTGGTAACAAAACTTGAAAATCCAGTGACCTTTCCTCATATTCTGTCTCTTTCAACTTTGATGATATTGATTTACTCAACAGATATTGATTGAGAAATAACTATATGTCAATCCCACATCAGAGTTAAATCAAATAACAAAGCTAATAATAAATCCTTCCCTCATAGAGCTGTTATTCTTGTGTGTGCATTTCATGATGGTAATGGTGAGGCATTTGATCCTGATGGATACCTCAACTTTGTTATATTGACTCTTGACTTTATTTCTGTGACTCATTGTCATATTTTCAATTATCACATATCTAAAAGAGATTCTGTCAACCATTTTTAAAGTATTTTTAAAATTTAGCTATAATTTACATGTGTAAGAAAAGGAGACATCTTACACATGTAGTTTGATGAGATCTTACAACTGCATAATCATCCCAATTAAGTTATTAAACATTCCTATCACTTAAGAAAATTCCCTTCTGCCCCCTCTCATTTGATTCTACTCTCACTTCCAGGCAACCACTGTTTTTATTTTTATTTTTTTCATCAGAGATAAGTTTTGCCTGTTGTAAGAGTTTAGATAAATGGTATCACAAAGTCAGTATTTGTTTGGTTCAGACTTTTTCATTCAGCCCGATTGTTGCATGTAATAATACTTTGTTCCTTTTCATTACTTGGTAGCATTTCATTGTTTGAATATTCCACAATTTTTTCATCTATTCCCCTGGTGATGAACATTTGAGTTGTTTCTTTAGGGCTACTATGAATAATAATGTCTGAGACTATTAAGAATAAAGCTTTTTAATAAATTCTTGTACAAATCTTTTTTTGCACATTATTTTACTTCTGTTAGGTAAATATCAAGAGAAATTGCTGAGTCATAAGGTGGGAATACGTTTAATTTTAGGAGAAGTTGACAGCTGAGTTTCCAAAGTGATTAAACAATTTTAACTCCCAGGGTCAAAGTATGATACTTCTAGTTGTTCCACAAACTTGTTAATTTCATTAGGACTGCTGTAACAAAATACCATAGACCTGACAGCACATACACCACTGATATGTGTTTCTCATATATCAGTGAGATACGGAGGCAAGGAAGTCAAAGATCAAGGAGCTAGCAGATTCACTGTCTGGTGAAGGCCCACTTCCTCATAGATAGCCTTCTTTTCACACTAACCTTACAGAGTAGAATGAGCAAGAGGTTTTTCTCAGGCCTCTTTTATAAGGGTACTAATCTTTATGAGGGCTCTGCCTCCATGACATAATCACCTCCCAATAGCCCCAACTTTTAATACCATCACCTTGAGGGTGAGGATTTTGAGTAGACATAAATATCCAGACCATAACATTTATCAACATTTAGTGTTTTATCATTTTTTAATTCTAAGCGTCATAAAATCTCGCCATGAGATTTTTTCCTATGCATATTTGCTATTAATATCCAGGTAGGCCTGACTAGAACAGTGTTCAGTGTTGGATGAGTTGTTTCCCAGTACTGAGGCAAGACACTACCGAATTACTTGTGAATTTGAAGGTTTTTCAATCTGGCATATGGGAAGCGGTACCATTCATATGTTTTTGGCTGTTTTTGTTTTTTTCTGTTCTTGTTCTTTCAGCTGTATTCAGAGGATAAATCTGGTACCTATTACTGTGTCTGGTTCATAAGCAGAAGTCTATTGATCATATAGTTTTAATATTTTTCTAATATAAGCTGAGAAATGATGGTGGATAGGAGGCAGTGTTGGTGTGTCTCTCCCACTTGGAAGGACAGAATACTGGGCAGAGATTCACACTGTGAATGTGTTCTTGAAGAACCACCACAGAAACTTACCAGGAAAACCAAAATAATTCACTGATCCTGTGAAAGAAATGGCAGGCTGCAACTTACTCCATGAGACAAGCAAAAAACTATCAGTTTCCAGAATGTGAGAAGTAGACAACGTGCCTCCAGACACACATCCCCACTGAGGAATGTGAAAATTCAGATCACAGAAGAAGCCCTTTACCCTACTCAGAGCTGGAACAGATTTATGGAGTGGTGTGAAATATAAAAGTAGAAGCAGCAGTGGATAGTGCCTTGTAAGCATTCCCAGTCTCTAGCACAAGCCCAGGGAAGCTATTTGTGACTATATCTCACAGGAACCCTCAGGTAAGTCAGACAATGAATTCAGAGAGAGGTTGCAGGGTGAAAGAAGTTCCCAATTTAATTTTGTGATACAATTTTGACTGGGGAAAAGCT
This sequence comes from Homo sapiens, assembly GCF_000001405.40. Classification (NCBI taxonomy): domain Eukaryota; kingdom Metazoa; phylum Chordata; class Mammalia; order Primates; family Hominidae; genus Homo; species Homo sapiens. The sequence continues at coordinate 5,972,245 of NC_000024.10, forward strand.
CTCTTGAACAGAATCTGGGGATGAGCAGGAAGTGTGCTGCAGATATGTGAGCAGAAACTGGGCTTCCGGCCTTGCGGACAGACGGGGAGGGGCATGTCCTGAAAATCATGCTTGCTATCTCTGTAGGGAAGCTTATAGCCTGGGGCAGGTTCAGTTCTGTACTCAGGCTACCTAGATCTAAACCCGGCGCTCTTAGCAGGGCACTGCAGGAGTGACACTCGCTTTGCCAACTGTGTGGGAGCTAGGTGAGGCCTACTATTGCTGGCTATTCCCCACTCCCCTTGAAAAGTCTTCTCCACAGCAGAGGCAGTTATTCTCCCCTCTGGAACACTACCCTAGTGGCCTGAGATTCATCCCTCATCCCCTACAGTGACTGTGGCAGGCCCTGCCCAAAGAGAGTCTGAGTTCAGACCTGACCCTCCCCAAACCTGATGCTATATCTCTACCTGCCCTAATAGATTAACAAAAAGGACATAAACTCTTGGGAGCTTTATGGCCTCAGCCATCAGCTGAGAAAACAGAATACTTCCCCTGAACAACTTAGAGCAAGCAAAAATTCTACTGCTACTACTGCAGCTGGTGCTCTCTTGCAAGTGCCACCTCCCGGCTGGCGGCCAACCAACTCAGGCCATTACAGCACCTCTTGGTAGAATAACACTGCACCCAAGAAAAAGAAAATGGCTGGTAACAGCACTGCCTGCAACACCCTGGCTAACCAGAGGTCCTGAGTCTGTCCACATGAGAACTTCACTGTTAGCATAACAAGCATTCGAGAAAGCCAGCACACTAAGCTTATCTACAGCAAAGGAACCTAACATAGTCTACATTACTCCCCTGCCACCTCCATCAGAGCAGGTGGTTGCATCCACTGCTGGGAGACCTGAAGAGAGGTCACATCACTGGATCCTTTGCATACATTTCCCAACACCAGCTCAGAGTCTGGTACCCCACTGGGTGGCTATACCCAGAAGAGCAATAACAATCACTGCAGTCTGGCTCTCAGGATGCCCCATTCCAGGGGAAGGGGGAGAGCACCACATCAAGGCATCACCCCATGGGACATGATAATCTGAAGAGTAAGACGTGAGTCCCAGATCTTTCCACTTGTGGGTAGATTCTTATAGCACAGACACAACTATAGTGCTGGAAACAGTAGAGAAACTTTGCACCTCTACTCCAACAGGCAGGCAGCCTCTGTGATTATTAAAGGGCTTCGAGAAGTGGTCCTTATTCCCCTTGGCACACCACCGCAGAGGCAGCTGGGGCTTCTCCTCTAGGAATGCAGCACTGTTGCACGTATAGACAGCCCTCCTGGAACAATCCAGGGTGATTGCAGCCCCTCAAGAGGAGCATGCCACAGATTCAGGCCTGCATAAAAGGCAGAGCCATATTTCCTCCCTTCTTAGAACATCAACATTTCTTACAGATGAAAAAAGTTGCCTGTCTTATCTGAATAGTGAGAACACCTGGACAAGAATGAGGCTGTGAGGTAGACAGCTTTTCTGCTGGCCTTGCAGGGGAGCTGCAGTAGCTCCCACTACTTACCCCAATAAAAGCTCAGCAATTCTAAGTGAGAGCTCCTCCAGGAAACTTTATCAAGCCTGGAACTTCTGCCCACCATTGGGTATTACATCTACCTACCTGCCTTAGCTATAGCCAGTGCCTACTCAAGGATACCTCCCATATTGGCCTGAAGCTTAAATCATCAACCCAGTAAATAAAATACTGGGGAGGAAATAAATAAATAAAGTATACACCACGAGAGAATGAGATAAGCTTCAAGAGATCCCTGGCATTCCAGCCCCATAAGAGATAATGAACTTGCCCACACACTGAGTACATAAATACTACAGCCAGCATCTGGGAAAGCTGGTGCACAAATATTTTGTATAACCGAGGAACTCATACAGAGTCTTCACTTTCACCACTAAAAGCACCAAAATCAAATTAGGCTAAAATAAAATATGAACATTAAAGACTGGTTCTTAAGAGGAAAAAAAAAAGAAATATAAAAGACACAGTTCAATAAAAAAATGAATTCAAGAACAATTTGAAGAAATGGTCCACCCAAATGAGAAGAAACCAGAAAAGTAATTCTGGTAATAAGACAAAATGGGGTTCTGTAACACCCCAAAAAGTTCACACTAGCTCTCCAGAAATAAATCCACACCAAGAATAAATCTCTGAATTGCCAGATGAAAAATTCAGAAGATTGATTTTTAAGCTACTCAAAGAGTTACCAGAGAAAGGTGAGAACTAACTTTAATTAAAAGAAAATTGAGGATGTGCATAAAATATTTTCCAGAGAAACAGACATTATAAAGAAAAACAATCAGAACTTCTGAAAATGAAAGACACACTTAGGGGAATACAAAATGCAGTGGAAAGTTTCACCAATAGACCAGAAGAAGTAGAAGAAAGAATTTCAGAGCTTGAAGACAAGGCTTTTGAATGAACCCAATCAGACAAAAATTTTAAAAAAAGAATTCTAAAAAATGAAGAGTCTCTAAGAAATGTGGGATTATGTAAACAACCAACCCTAAGAATAATTGGTGTTCCTGAGGGAGAAGTCAAGTATAAATGTTGAGAAAACTTATTTGAGAGAATAATTAAGGAAAGCTTTCCTGGCCTTGCTAGAGACCTAGACACCCAAATACAAGAAGCTAAAAAAATTTCTGAGAAATTCATCACAAAAAGATCATCACAAAGACACATAGTCATTAGGCTATCTGGTCAAGGTGAAGGAAAGAATCTTAACAGCTGTGAGACAAAAGCATCAGGTAAACTATAAAAGAAAACCAACCAGGTTAACATCAGATTTCTCATCAGAAGCCTCACAAGCCAGAAGGGATTGAGGTTCTATCTTTAGCCTCCATAAACAATAACTGTCACCAAATAATTTGGTATCCTGCAAAACTAAGCTTCATAAATGAAGCACAAACAAATGCCGAGGCAAGCAAATGCTGAGTGAACTAGCTACTACCAAACCAGCCCTACAAGAAATGCTGAAAGGAGTTCTAAATCTTGACACAAAAGCTCAATATTCACCAAAATAGAACCTTCTTAAAGCATAAATCTCACAGGACCTATAAAACAATAACACAATGAAAAAATAAAGTATCTAGGCAATGTAGAATGTCAGTGGCCTAAATACTTTACTTAAAAGATACACAATGGCAGAATGGATAAAGAACCACCAATAAAATATCTGCTGTCTTCAAGAGACTCACTTAAAACCTAAGAGCTCATATGAACTTAAAGTAAAGGAGTGGAAAAACATATTTCATGCAAATGGAAACCAAAAGTGAGCAAGGGTAGCTATTTCTTATTTCAGACAAAAGAGACATTAAAGCAACAGCAGAAAAAAATGAAAACAAAAACAAAAACAAAGAAGGCCATTATATCATGATGAAAGGATCAGTTCAAAAGAAAGATATTACAATCCTAAATTTATATGCATCTAACACTGGAGCTCCCAAATTTATAAAACAATTACTACTACACCTAAGAAATGAGACAGATGGCAACACAGTAATTGTGGGGGACTTTAATACTCCATTGACAGTATTAGACAGATCATCAAGAAAGAAAGTCAACAAATAAACAGTGAACTTAAATTATACCCTAGAACAAATGGACTTAAGAGATATTTACAGAACATTCTTCCCAACAACCTCAGAATATACATTCTTCTCATCAGCACATGGTATAGTCTCCAAGGTAGACCATATGATAGGTCACAAAACACTTCTCAAGAAATTTAAAAAAAATCAAGATCATATCAAATATCTTCTCACACCACAGTGGAATAGAAATGGAAATCAATTACAAAAGAACTCTGAAAACTATACAAATACATGGAAATGAAATAATCTACTCTTGAATAATTTGGGGTTTAACAATGAAATCAACATGGGAATTTGAAAATTCTTTGAAATGAATAATAATAGTGACATAAGTTATCAAAGGCTCTGGGATGCAGCAAAAGCGATGCTAAGAGAAAATTTCATAGCATTAAATGCCTTCATCAAAAAGTCTGAAAGAGCACAAATAGACAACCTAATGTCACACCTCAATGAACTAGAGAAACAAGAACAAATGAATCCCAAACCTATTAGAAAAAAAAATAAGAAAGATCTAAGCAGAACTAAATGAAATGGAAACAAAGAAGACAGTATGAAAAATAAATGAAATCAAAAGGTAATTCTTTGAAAATATAAACAAAATTGATAGACCATTATTGAGATTAACCAGAAAAAGAAGATAGAAGATCCAAATAAGCTCACGTAGAAATAAAACTGGAGATACCACAGCCAATACCATACAAGTAAAAGATAATTTATGGCTACTTTGAATACTTATATGCACACGATCTAGAAAATCTAAAAGAGATAGATAAATTCCTGGAAATATACAACACTTTTAGGTTAAATCAGGAAGAAACAGAAACCCTGAAAAGACTAATAACAAGCAGCAAGATTGAATCAGTAATAATAACATTGCCTAAAAAAAAATCAAGACCAGATGGAGTTACAGTGAATTCTATCAGATATTCAAAGAATTGGTGTCAATCCTCCTGAAACTATTTCAAAAGATATAGAAAAAGGGAATCCTCCCTAGATCATTCTATGAAGCCAGTATCACCTTAATACCAAAACCAGGAAAGGACTTAATAAAAAAGGGAAACTACAGACCAATATTGACCCAGCAATCCCATTACTGGATATATACCCAAAGGATTATACATCATTCTACTATAAAGACACATGCACACATATGTTCACTGTAGCACTATTCACAATAGCAAAGACTTGGAACCAACCCAAATGCTCATCAATGATAGACTGGATAAAGAAAATGTTGCACATATGTGCCATGGAATACTATGCAGCCATAAAAAACAATGAGTTCACGTCCTATGAAGGACATGAATGAAGCTGGAAACCTTCATTCTCAGCCAACTAACGTAGGAACAGAAAATTAAAAACTGTATGTTCTCACTCATAAGTGGGAGTTGAACAATGAGAACACATGGACACAGGGAGGGGAATATCACACACCAGGGCCTGTTGGTGGGTGGGGGGCTAGGGGAGGGATAGCATTAGGATAAATGCCTAATGTAGATGATGGGTTGATATGTGCAGCAAACCACCATGATACGTGTATACTTATGTAACAAACCTGCACGTTGTGCACATGTATCCCAGAACTTAAAGTATAATAATAAAAAAACTCTCAAAAATATTCTAGCTAACAGAATATAAAAGCATATCAAAAAGATAATACAGCATGATTAAGTGGGTTTCATCCCTGGGATACGGTGATGATTTAACATACACAAGTCAATAAATGTGATACATCACATAAATAGAATTAAAAACAAAAACCATATCATCATCTTAATAGATGCAGAAAAAACATTTGATAAAATCCATCATCCCTTTATTATAAAAACCCTCAAAAAATAGGTATAGAAGAGATTTACCTCAGAGTAATAAGAGCCATACATGACAAACTCATAGCCAACATTATATTGAAGGGGGAAAACTTGAATGCATCCTCCTCTGAGAACTGGAATAAGACAAGGATGCCCATTTTCACCACTTCTATTCAATATAGTACTGGAAGTCCTAGCCAGAGCTATCAGAGAAGAGAAAGAAATAAAGGGCATCCAAATTGCAAAAAAAAAAGTTGAACTGTCACTGTTCACCAATAATATGATTGTATACTTAGAAAACCCTAAAGACTTATTCAAAAAGCTCCTAGATCTGAAAAATGAATTCAGTAAAGTCTCAGGTTACAAAATCAATCTACACAAATCAGTAGCACTGCTATACACCAACAACAACTAAGCTGAAAATCAAATCAAGAACTCAATTCTTTTTGCAACCGCTGAAAAAAAAAAAAAAAAAAAAAAAAAAAAAAAAAAAAAAACTAGGAATGTATTTAACCAAGGAGGTGAAAGATCTCTACAAGGAAAACCACAAAACACTGCTGAAAGAAATCATAGATGACACAAACAAATGGAAACACATCCCATGCTCATGAATCGATAGAATCAATATTGTAAAAATGACTACATTGCCCAAAGCAACGTACAGATTGAAGGTAATTTTTATCAAAATACCATCATCATTCTTCACAGAACTAGAAAAAACAATCCTAAAATTCATATGGTACAAAAAAAGAGCCCACATAGGCAAAGCAACTAAGCAAAAAGAACCAAACTGGAGACAACACCTTACCTAACTTCAAATTATACTACAAGGCTATAGTTACTAAAACAACATGGTGCTGGTATAAAAAATAGGCACATAGACCAATGGAACTGAATAGATAACCCAGAAAAAAAGCCAAATACTTACGGCCAATTGATCTTTGACAAAACAAATGAAAACCTAAAGTGAGGAAAGAACACCCTATTCAATGAATGGTGATGGGAAAATTTGCAAACCAAATGTAGAAGAATGAAAATGGATCTTCATTCATCTCCCACCTTATACAAAAATCCACTAACGATGAATCAAAGGCTTAAATCTAAGACCTGAAACCAAAAAAATTCTAGAAGATAACATCAGAAAGACTCTTCTAGACATTGGCTTAGGCAAAGACTTCATGTCCTAGAACCAAAAGCAAATGCAACAAAAACAAAAATAAATTGTTAGGACCTAATTAAACTAAAAAGCTTATACATAACAAAAGAAATAATCAGCAGAGGAAACAGACAACCAACAAAGTGGGAGAAAATATTCACAAACTATACATCTGACAAAGGACTAATATCCAGAGGCACTCAAACAAATCAGCAAGAAAAAAACAAATAATCTCATCAAAAAGTGGGCAATCAGATGACTAGACAATTCTCAAAAGAGAATATACAAATGGCCAATAAACTTATGAAAAAATGCTCAATATCACTAATTATCAGGGAAATGCAAATGAAAACCACAATGAGATACCACCTTACTCCTGCAAGAATGGCTATACTTTAAAACTCAAAAAATAGTAGACATTGGCATGGCTGTGGCAAAAAGGGAACACTTTTGCACTGCTGATGGGAAGATAAACTAGTACAACCATTAGGGGAAACCAGTATCAATATTTCTTAAAGTACTAAAAGTAGAACTAGTATTCGATTAAGAAATCCCACTACTGGATATCTACACAAATAAAAATAAGTAATTATATGAAAAAGATACATGCACAAGCATGTTTATAGCAGCACAATTTTCAATTGAAAAAATATAGAACCAAGCTAAGTGCCCAGCAACCAATGAGTGGATAAAGAAAATGTGGTATATATACACTATGGAATACTACTCAGCCATAAAAATGAATAAAATAATGTATTTTGCACCAACTTGGATGGAGCTGGATGTCATTACTCTAAGTGAAGTCAGGAATGGAAAAACAAATATTGTATGTTCTCACTTATAAGTGGGAACTAAGCTATGGGGATGAAAAGGCATAAGAATGATATAATAAACTTTGGGGACTCAGGGAGGTAAGGATGGGAGGGAATGAGTTGTAAAATTCTAGATATTCGGTATGGTGTAGACTGCTCTGTTGATGGGTGCACCAAAATCTCAGAAGTAACCACTGAAGAACTTATCCATATAATCAAAAATCACTTGTACCCCGAAAACAAGTGAAATAAAAAACATTTTTTTCTAATGTAAGCATGAAGAACTCTAATTATTGTTCCAGTTGCACTGTATGCATTTTGATATGTGGTGTTTTCATAATCACTCAATTCAGATTTTTCTCTAATGTATCTTTTAATTTCTTGTTTGATACATGGGTTATGTGAAAGTATGTTACTTAATTTCAAAATATTCATGTTTTCTACTGATGTTTTGTTGTGATTTGATTTCTAATTTAGTTAAATTTTGTTCAGCAAACAGAGTCTTCATGATTGCAATCCTTTAAAATTAACCTAGTTTATGGTGAATTACATGGTCTATTTTGATGAATATTCCATGTTTCCTTGAAAAGGATGCATATTTTCTTTCATTGGGATTATTGTTCTATAAATAAAAATTAGTTTGAAGTGGGTGATTGTGTTGCTCAAGTCCTCTATATGTTTATGATTTTCTGTCTACTTGTTCTGTCAATTTCTGGGACAAGAATATGGGAATTTTGAAATTTAATTGTAGATTTGTTTATGTCTCACCTTACTTAAATTATATTTTGTTTCACATATTTTGAAACTCTTTTGTTAAATACACTTTTAGGATGCTTGTTTTATTGATGATTTATGGTTTTATCATTGTCAAATATTTCTCTTTCTTTATTTTCATGTGTATTGTCCTGAAATCTACTTTCTCAGATATCAATATATCCACTCCAGATTTCTAACAATTAGGTTTGCTGATTCCTATCTCATGTCCAATGTCATTGTCTCTTTCCATTCGAAATATGTCTATATAACACATCTGGGGTAATCTTCATAAAACATCACCTTCACAGAGCCCTTACAATGCTCATAAATCTTCATTACTTCTCCATTATTTAAAGGATATGAATTCCTTAGCCTTCTATCCATAGATTTTCACCTTGCAGCCTCAATTTATCATTCAAAATGGTTTTCCAAATACTTCCTTATGAGAATCTTTGGCATCATACAAAATGTTCTAAAAAATCACAAGCCTCCAAATAAGTTGTGCATTCTTACCTGTAGTAGATTGACTAAGTGGCTCTACTTTTTACCCACCCTGAATCCATGTCTTTAATGTGTAATTTTTGCAGTTCCTTACATTACATTCAGCGTATACTTGCCTACCACTTGACTTTGGACTTGGTCATATAACTTGCTTTGGCTAAGAGATGTTAGATGTGACTTAAGCAGACTTAACGTCAGCAGAGACTTCAAATGTTCTTGCAAGATTGAGAATTTCCTCTTGTGCTTCAACCAATACCATGAAAATTTAATTTTCCTGCTGGTATAAGGAAGATGCAGCTTATGACCAAGGCAAGTAAAGCCAAACCAAGTCCAGTCAAGCTCAGCTAAAATCAGCCAACCCCCAGCTGACCCCTGGATCCTTGAGTGAGAATAAATTATTGTTGCTGTTTTAAGCCACTGAATTTTGGAGTGCTTTGTTACATATCGTATTTTTATGTTAATAGTTAACTGATACGTTACATCCATACTATTGTTCAGTCTTCTTTTTATTTTCATCAATCATTTAGATATGTTTTAGATACCTACTCATTATACAAGGCTCAGTCTAATGTGTCTTCCTTTAGAAACTTTTTCTATTACAGTCTCGCCTCAAAGAATTTTCCCTTCTTAATAATTATTACACAATGTATATGTATATAAAATCATCACATTTTACACCTTGGAGAAATTTAGTCTTTACAATGAATCAGATTAGACTGAGAGAAGTGTAGAGAGACTACTCTATGGATCTAACACAGGGGTTAAATTTGTCTGCTCCTTATACCTTCTCCAGCCTCATTTCCTATAATTAATTATAATTAGTATTCCCCTTTTGGGACAAAATAATTGTCCCTAATGACAAGTTACAGTGTGTTTTTCTAGTGCGTCTTTGAAACAAATAAATTGCTGGCTCTCAGATCGACATTTCTGTCCTAAACTTCAGTTCTGGCCTAGGACAGGATCTGGGTGTGTAAAGAGAAGACTCCTATTCACTTAGTACTATTTCCATGTTAGGAAATCTGTGGAAAACCAGGTTTATTATATCTTATTTCCAAACTGTCCACATACCTAAAAATTATTCTCATGTTTCAATTTATCAATAAATATATATTTAACATAGCACTTTATGTCCTTAAAACAGGCTTAAACAAATGTAATACAATAACTTTTTATTTCAGTACTTCACTAAGCATGCTTATTTACATTTTTTTAGAAAATGCAATTTCATTTACCAATAATTAATATTTATTCCCAAGGCCAATTATCCAAAGAATGTAATACCCTTCTTTCTAGTTGTATAAGGTGTATCACTTCATGGTGATGAAATATTTGTATGGATATTATAATATATTTCTTTATCCTCATTGTACTAGAACTATGTCTCAAACATTCCTAATAATTCATTTCTGTATATTCAGTTTCACTGAACACTCCATATTTGTAAAAAGTTTAGTTAGCATTTTTCTACAATTTATGCCTTGTACACAAAATTTATAGTATCTTAGAACTTCCATGGAGACTTTGCGAAGTGCAATCTCACCTAATGGAAAATTACTTCAATATAAATTTATACTGCTGGGAAAAGGAGATGTATAAGGTTGGAAATGGCAATAAATAAGTTTCTTTCTCTATAAATTCTTTCTGAATTTCAATTTATTGGAAATGTGAAATGAGTAGAAGAACAGTGGCAGAAATCATTGGCTTCTAAAAATTCTAATATGAATTCACCCTTCCTGACAAAGAAATTTGTGTAAGGAAACAGTGACAATTCTGTGAAAGAAGGGTATAGAAAGTAACTAAACAGAAAACAAAAATCAACAGAGTGTACAGGTGAGGAAATATATTACTTTTGGTGTTGATAACCTTTGAAGCCCAGTTTAGTTTATTCAGGTTCTCCATATCTTTGCACTAGATACAAGAGCCAGTAGAGCTATTTCTGATGTTACTCATGGAGCACTACAGAGACATACAGACTAATATAATTACATTTCATTCTTTCAATAGGATATACAAATATGTAGGGAGAATTTTTCAATTTTCCATCCATTATAACAGTTATATCACATTTTCTGTATTTATATTCTTTTTTTTACAGGATAATCATTTATTAATTCATTTATCATTTTATTTAGGAACCTAATACAGTGTTTGATTTAGCAGTGAAGAACAGCATGCCTAAATAAATGATATTTAGAGGAAACTGTCATAAAAAAGCATAAATAACTAATAATACAATCCGTCAACTAATAATACATAGGAAACCAGGAAAACACATAAGATACTATCTCACAAGAGTCAGAATGGCTATTACTAAAAAATCAAAAAATTACTGATGCTGACAAGACTGCAGAGAAAAAAGAACACTTATACACTGCTGGCAAGTGTCAATTAGTTCAACCATTGTGAAAAACAGTGTGGCGAGCCCTCAAATAACTATATTCTGTTTTGTTTCTCAAAAATATTTGGGCCAAATTTAGCACACTTAAATTACATTAAATACACACAATTGAAATATGAGTATTCCATACTTTTATTGTTTAGTTTATATTCCTAAAAAATTGAGGCAAAAACTATAAGCAAACTATTCCTGCAGCATTTCATTTCTAGAAGTTGGTAATGATAATGTGTAATATGATGACTTAAAATTCAAATCTAATAAAATTCATTGTCATTTATATATATAAACAGGGATCATGATGAGCATCTAATATATGCATATACCCAAAAAAACCCATGGAGTATTGGTGATACTGTTTGGCTGTGTCCCCACTCAAAATCTCATTTTGAAGTGTAATCCCCATAATCCCCACATGTCAAGGGCAGGACCAGGTAGAGGTAATTGGATTATGGAGGCAGTTTTCCCCATGCTGTTCTCATGATAGAGAGTGAGTCTCACAAGATCTAATGGTTTTACCAGAGTCTGGCATTTCCCCTACTTTCACTCACTCCACTCTGTCACCTGGTGAAGAAGGTGCCTGCTTCTCCTTTGCCTTCCACCATGATTGTAAGTTTCTTGAGGCCTCCCCAGTAATGCAGAACTGTGAGTCAATTAAACCTATTTTCTTTGTAAATTACCCAGTCTCAGGCAGTTCTTTATAGCAGCATGAGAATGGATTAATACAATTGGGTACTATGGTTTGAATATTTGTACCCTCCAAAACTCATGTTGAAATGTAATCCCCACTATGACAATATTGAGAGGTAGGGCCTGAAAGAGGTAATTGGTTCATGAATGTTCTGTCCTAATGAACATATTAATTCATTCAAAAATTAATGGTTTAATGGATTACTGGGTTTTCATCGAAGTGGGGGAGCCTAGTGGCTTTAAAAGAAGAAGAAGAAAGACTTGAGCAAGTATGTATTCACAGCCCCCTTACCATGATATCACGCACTGCTGTGGGACTCACTTTGTTTCTTTCTTTCTTTCTGTGAACTTGCATAGAGAAGTAATGCCTTAGAACTTTTATGAGAATCTCCACTAGCAAGAAAACTCTCACCAGATGCTACTCCTTAACCTTGGACTTCTCAACCTCCATAACTACAATAAAAAATTATCTTTTCTATATAAATTTCTTACTTTTGGTATTCTGTTATACACAACATAAAGTACTAAGACATTGGGATAGGTCACCAAGGGCCTTATTATCCTATTGGCATAAGGCTTCTGCAGCCTTTTGGAGAGGTGGTAAAATAATGTATTGTTGAGCAGTAAGATAGAATAGACACTTCAAAAGACCTCTCTCTATAAAACTGAGGAAAATTTCATAAAATACACATTTTAGTGCATTTCTAGACTAGCAAAGAAAAAAGAAACCTCTAAGCACGACCACCATCACCAAAAATGACAAAGTACTGAGTTTGAAATGAAACCAGAAAAGCGAGTTCTGAGCAGCCATTGAAAGAAAAAAAAATGTAGTTACTCTAGAAACAACTGCCAAATTCAGCATTCCAGTCCATGGATTAAAACATGAAAAAGTCTCAAAGAAGGGAGATAAACCTGAGACCATTTTATCAAGGATATTGAGACAGCTGCATTCAAAACATGTCCTATGTAGGCCTTTATATTACCACAGACAAAAATCAGAGATATAAATTTACTGAACAATGAAGCAAATGAATTGACAGAAGTGAGACTCTGCAGGCAATAAACAACAACAGCAAGGGATTTATATACCTAATACTTAAATTGGAATTATTAAAAACAGACTGTAAATTATTTGTTAAATGTTAAACAAAATAAAATATGGACTTTGAAAAAGGAACAAGCAATACAAGTCTCTGAAAAATAGAGTGGTATTTTAAAAACAGCCAAATAAAAATGTTAGAAAAGTGTGTATATACACATAAGCACCCATACGTATTTGTTGAAATTTTGAACTCAATAGGTTCTTCTACTTCTGGTACTACGTAAAAAGTTGAGAAATTATTGCTTTCAAAAAACAATGAGAAAAATCCAAATAAGCTACAAAATGAAAGTTTTACTTTTTCAACCCATCAGATTGCTGAGGACACAAAGAAATCTAAAAAAAATCCAGGAAGTGCGGGGGCCTATATATATGGTCAGGTATGCCATATTCATTGATTGGAAGATGCAATGCTTTTTATGATACCAATTATTCCCATATTGAACAATTTATATGATACAACTGCATTCAACATTTTATATTTCATTTTTTTAAATCATCAAGCTGATTCTAAAATTTGATACAAGAAGCAACAAAGCAAGAGCAGTTTTGAAGAGGAAGAACGAAGTTAGAATACTTGGAATAACTAATTACATAAATTACTAAATAACTATTTTAACCAACATAATGTGGTATTAGCTTAAGGAAAGACATATATATCCATGAAACAGATGAAAGATGCTGAAATAAACCTATTTTAAAATATTAATAGAGTTTATTTTTAGAGCAGTTTTAGGTTTACAGAAAAATTTAGTGTAAAAATATAGAGTTCCCACATACTCACTTGCTTCCTGCACACAGTTTCCTGTTATTTACATGTTGCATTAGTGTAATATATTTATTACAATTGATGAGTCAATATTGACACAATATTATTAACTAAAGTCTCTACCTTAGAGTTCACTCTGTGTTGACATTTGGCTTTGACAAATGTATTATGACATGTATTATGACATATTTCAAAATGTAGTTTTTAATTATTATGCAGGTATGGTGACGTCAACAGGTCTCCTGAGGTTACTATCTGCCATTGAAAAGGTTGTTTGTAACTCATAGTTTTTAAGAGGAGAGTACACTAAAGAGGAGGGTACACTAAAGAGGAGTTTTCAAGAGGAGGGTACACAGGGGAGCTACACTAAAAAGCACCAGATTCACCTGGGTGCGGTGGCTCATGTCTGTAATCCCAGCACTTTGGGAGGCTGAGGTGGAAAGATCACAAGGTCAGGAGATCAAGACCATCCTGGTTAACATGGTGAAACCTCGTCCCTACTAAAAAATACAAAAAATTAGCCGGGTGTGCTGGCAGGCACCTGTAGTCCCAGCTACTCTGGAGGCTGAAGCAGGAGAATGGTGTGAACCCCAGAGGCAGAGCTTGCAGTGAGCAGAGATGGTGCCACTGCACTCCAGCTTGGGTGAAAGAGTGAGACTCCGTCTCAAAAAAAAAAAAAAAATCATCAGATTCAGTCAGGAGGCAGAGAGAATGGAAGAAAACATAGACAAGAGCCTTTATTGTGGTTTCCATGAGAAGAAACACATGAGGCAGGGTAAGCAGATTTAGGATTGACTAATTTGAATAACTTCAGCCGGCTCTGAGGCATAGTGGCTATCCGTAGTTGTCTGGTACCTGGCTCTGGTGTGATTAGGGCAGATAAATAATTGCCTGGAGTGTGAGAATCTTGTGAAAGACTGACAAAGGTGGTGTTAGGGTATGAGCTCTGGATTAATTAGTTGGCATATGGAAAGTGTGTTTATAAGTGAGATATTTACTCTCTCTAGGAATTGGCTGGCTCTGGAAGGGCAATCTCTGCAGTGTTAGTAAGGCCCCACATGTCAAAGCACCAGAAACACATGGTTAATATACATGTATTCACCATTATGGTATTATACAGAATAGTTTTAATGTCCTAAACCTATTAATTTCTCACTCTGTCCTCTTCCTAAACCCTGACATTTGTTTTTGTTTTTCTTTTTGTCTATCTTTGTCTTTTATTGAATGTCATATAGTAGAAATATATGTAGCCTTTTCAGATTGGCTGTTTTTTGCTTAGCATTTATTAAAAAAATCAATTGGCCGGGTGCGGTAGTGCATGCCTGTAATCCCAGCACTTTGAGAGGCCGAAGCGGGTGGATCACGAGGTCAGGAGATTGAGACTATCCTGGCTAACATGGCAAAAACCCATGTCTACTAAAAAATACAAAAAATTAGCTGCGAGTGGTGGTGGGCACCTGTAGTCCCAGCTACTTGGGAGGCTGAGGCAGGAGAATGGCGTGAACCCAGGAGGGAGAGCTTGCAGTGAGCCAAGATCGCATCACTGAACTCTAGCCTGGGTGACAGAGCGAGACTCTGTCTCAAAAAAAAGTTAATTAATTTTCCACAAAGAAGTATAGATAATTCAATGAGAAAATTATTGTCTCTTCAATAACTAGTCCTGGATAACAGATTATTCATATTTTTAAGAACATAACTCCATCCTTACCTCACACCATACAGAAAAAGCCAAATTGAAATGATTCATAGATCTAAACTAAGTGTTAACATTCTAAGATTTCTAAAAGAAAACAAAAAATATTTATGACAAAAGATATGTAAAGATTTTATAGACTGGACACATAAACATAAACCATAAATGAAAAAAAGATGTACTCTAGAAAATTAGAAGTGTCTCCTCTTAGAAAAATACCAATTTAAAATGAAAAGAGAAGCCATAGATTGGGGGAAAAGTTTTTGCAATACATATGTGTAATAGGTAGAATCTTAAGGTGCCTCCCCCAAGATTTCTGCTCTCTGGTGTACACACTTTGTATTATCTCTTTCCCTTAAGTGTGGGAAAGACAAGCAAATAGGATACGATATTATTCCTTTGATTAGATTACTAATCAGTGAATTTTGAGTTAAACAAAAGGGAGACTATACTGGGTGGGTCTAGCCTAACAAGAAACAAAAAGCAGCACCAAATATGCTACTCCTGGCCTCAAAGAAAACAACCATATATGTTTACAACTGCCTATAAATGCCATAGAGCAAGGAAATATGGGTGGTCTCTAGGCACAGAGAGTATTCCTCAGCAAATGGTTAGCAGGAAAACAGGGACTTCAGTCATACAGCCACAAGGAAATGAGTTATACCAATAATCAATGAGCTTGGAAGAGAACACTCAGCCTCAGATGCAAATCACAGTGCCATTATATAATCTTCATTATAGCGTGATCAGTGGATTTATTTTAAAGCCATCCACAGATTCCTGGCCCATTGTAGAAGAGTAAGTCTGTGTTGTAAGATAATGAATTTGTATTAAGTTGCTAGATTTGTGATACATCATTATGCAGGAATAGAAAATGAACACAATATTTTTGACAAAAGACTTAGAAATTATAAACAATTTCTACAATTCAACCATATAAACTCAAACAATCAAAGATCTGGATGAAATATTTGAACAGACACTTGACCAAAAATGATATATTAATGGTAAGCACAATAAAATATGTTTACAATAATTTTCTATGCTGCTATATCAAATTACTAAGAAGCTAGTGGTTTAAAGCAACAAAATTTATCATCTTACAGTTCTTTAGGATAGAAATTACATGGCTCTACCTGGGCTAAAATTAAATTGTCTGCAGGAGTGCATTTCTTTCTGGAGACTCTAGAAAAGAGTCATTTATTGTTCTTTTTTCAGGTTCTAAAGAACTCCCACATTCCTTGGATCATGACCCCCTTCATCCATCTTCAAGGCTAGCACCTTTGCCTGTCTCTGATCATTCTTCCATAGCCACATCTCCCTTGACCCTTGGCTTATCTGGGAAAGATTTGACATTCTTAAAGACTCATGAGATTAGGTTGGATCCACATAGCTAATCCAGGATAAACTCATCTGAAAGTCCTTAAAGCTTAATCACATTTCTACAGTCCCTTTTGCTATGTAAGGTAACATATTCATAGGTTCTAGGTATTAAAATGTGGACATCTTTGGAAGATCATTATTCTGCCTATCACAATGCTCAACATTATTAGTTATCAAAAAAATAAATTAAAATAAAAATGAGATGACACTATGTACCCACTAGAAGAGCTAAAATTGTAAATACAGTACTGCACCGTACGTTAACAAGGATGTATAGGAACTGGGCCTTACAATAATGCTGGGGAGAACAGAAAATAATACAACTACTTTGAAAAATGGTTTACTGACTTCTTAGTTCAAATATACACTTACCAATGACCCAGAAATGTTATTCTTACATGCTTACCCAAGGTATATAGAACACATGTCCACAATGGACTTGTTCACAAATGGCAATAGTAGTTTTATTGATAATAAGTAAAAGCTAGAAACCACCTAAACATCCATCAATAAAAGAATACATAAACAAATTGTGAGGTGTCCACACAAAGGAACACTACACAGTAATAAAAGTCAGCAAACCTCTCATATGCACAACAACATGTATGAAACTCAGGATCACTATGGACTAGTCACAAAAGAGAATATGCCATGAGATTTCATTTATATTAAACTCCAGGAAATATGACTGTAATCCAATGATAGAAAACAAATCAATGTTGCCTACGTCCTGGGAGAGGGAGCAAGGATATGCTGGGAAGGGTCATATGGGCAACTTTTGAGATGATTAAAAAATATATATTGATTACAGTCATACATTACAATGGTCATATACATATGTTAAAATCACCAAACCATAAACTAAATATGTGCATTTTATAACATAAAATTATACTTTATTATAGTTTATTTTTATAAAATGAAAAAGTAAAGGCATTTTCAGATAGATGAAATATAAGACAATTTGTCTCCAGCTGATCTTCCCTACAGGAAATTCTAAGAGATTTGTCAGGCTAAAGCTACCAGATGGAAACATATGGAATTCCAGATCTTCAAGAAGAAATGTGGAAAGATTAACTATCTGGATAAATGCAAAATACTTTTCAAAAAGTACATGTTTATCTATGTATATCTGAATATCAGTAATATATTGCTATATACCAAACTCTTATACTAAAAAGGCAGCAGGAGAATATTTCTTTCTGCTCAGCTAAGATAGTCTTATATAGCATAATCACGGGAGTGACTGCCACATCAGCTATGCTATATGCTATTGGCTAGAAGCAAGTAAGGTTTGACCACACTTCATGGGAAGGGATTATAAAAGGCATAAATCATTGGTGGGGAGAGTCACCTTAGGAAGTTCTCACAAAAGGCTACCCTCTGATTCCCCAGTGATCTATGTCTCTTTTATATGCAATATATACTCATCCCACCCCAATACCACCCAAATCTCATATTCCATTACAGCATCAGCTCAAATTTCAAAATCTCGTCAACTATATATGGACCAGGTGCAAGTGACACTTATAGATTTAATCAATTTTTCTTGTGAGGCAAAATATTTCTTTGTATTGTGGATTTGTGAAAGTAAAGAGACAAGTTATCTGCATAGTACACAAAGTGTACTATGATGGTTAATTTTAGGTACTGACTTGACTGGGTCACGTGGTAATCAGGAATTTGGTTAAATATTATTTCTGGGTGTGTCTGTGAGGGTGTTTCTGGATGAGATTAACATTTGAATCAGTAGACTGAGTAAAGCAGATTACCCTCCCGGTGTGAGTGAGCTCTATTCAATCCATTGAAGTCCTGGATAGAAAAAAATATGAGTAAAAAAGAATTCTTTCTCTCTGCCTGATTGACTTTAAACTGGGGCATTGGTCTTATCTTACCTTCAGACTCAAACTCAGACTGGAAGTTACACAATCTATTCTCCTGGTTCTCAGGCCTTTGGACTCAAACAACAACTCCATCAACTCTCCTGGGTCTCTAGTTTGCCAGCTGCATATCTTGAATTTCTCAGCCTCCATAATCACATGAGCCAACCCAGACTAATACAACACTCAACATACTATAGTAGGATAGATACAAGATAATAGCTATAGACATCTCAGTTTGAATGAGGGAGAAAATGAAAGGTGAAATTAAGTCACTGGTTCATGGAAGTTATGAAATCTAGACAGGCAAACTCTAACCAAAGCTCCTTGATCGGGTTTCAATGATAAGGAATAATCTTTGGAACATTTAGCTGTGCCCTATGAGTTTTTTTGTTTCTGCCCTTCAAATCATTCTTCCTTTTTCACGGAAAGTAGCTTGTGTTTGCAGCTCAGTCTGCTTCCTGCCAGTAGAATTTTGGAAATCCAAGAAACATGTTTTGTTTTCAGTTCTGTGTCTTTTTTTTAGTCCAAGCTGACAGCATTTCTGCTAAAATACATTTCTTAAGAAGCTAGTGAGCCTTCATGTATTTAATAGGGATTCATTTCATTAGACAAAAGACAGACCCACTGATCTTTTCAAGATAACTGCTTCTCTAATTCTTTCTGGCTCCTGCTAAGTTGGATGAGAGAAAATGCCCTTACAGTTCCAAGTAATTTTCTGATTTGGTTAAGAGATCAGTGAGGTAAAAAATCTTTTCAAATAAACTTTTGTGAGACTGATACTGTAATATTTTTATCTTTCTGAGGTTTCAGGAAAGGGTTGTATGCCGAGACCAGCTCGGTAGTGGAGACCCTAACCCCCACGACCCTAACCCAGCAGCGCTAGAGGAATTAAAGACACACACACAGAAATATAGCATGTGGAGTGGGAAATCAGGGGTCTCACAACCTTCAGAGCTGAGAGCCTCTGACAGAGGTTTACCCACACATTTATTGACAGAAAGCCAGTGATAAACATTGTTTCTATAGATTATAGATTAACTAAAAGTATTCCTTACAAGGAAACAAAGGGATGGGCCGAAATAAAGGGATGGGTCTGGCTAGATATTTGCAGCAGCAACATGTCTTAAGGGGCAGATTGCTCATGCTAGTGTTTGTGGTTTAAGAATGCCTTAAGCGGTTTTCGGCCCTGGGTGGGCCAGGTGTTCCTTGCCCACATTCCGGCAAACCCACAACCTTCAGCGTGGGCGTCAGGGCCATCACAAACATGTCACAGTGCTGCAGAGATTTTGTTTATGGCCAGTTTTGGGGCCAGTTTATGACCAGATTTGGGGGGCCTGTTCCCAATAGTTGTAGAGTCACCCACAGCCTTTTCTCTAGAACACAATTTTCTAACAGTGAATCTCCTAATTCAGTTTCTTTGGGCAACTTGATAAGCTGAAAATTTCCAAAATTATCAAGTCTTGCTTGCTTTTCATATAACACTGCTTTCTTCAATTTAAATCTTTTCTCTCACATTTTACTAATAAGCGACAAAACTATGACATACATTGAACACTTTGTTTGCAGATCTCATCTAAATATCTAAGGTGATCAGTTAAATTTTATTCCACATAACCGAAAGTCACATTTCTGCTAAGTTCACCAACACTATAAAACAATGGTCCTTCTTCCTCCAATTTCCATTAATATATCCTTCCCTACTTTTTGAGCTCTCACCCCTAGTGTCCTCCAAGTCCAAGTTTCTAACTATTAAGAGTGATTTAATTTTGCTGTGTCATGCCCTTAATAAATCTTCCAGATTCTGCCCATTGCTTTTCTCATAAGCAGCACTGCAATAAAGATAACAAAATTTGTATTAGCTATCTATTGCTACTTAAATTCTGCATTATTCAGGTTACCAGAGAAGCTGAACTGGTAGATTATGTATGCATTTATATGTATTTCTTAAAAGGGATCTTATTCAATTGAGGGAATTGACTAAGCATGTCTGAAGTCCATTGAACAAGCAGTCAAGAAGGGAAGATCAAACTCAGGATGAAATTCCATAGGCATGGGTTGAAGTTTTTGGTCCATAGATGGCAGTTGGAAAGAAAGTTCTAGAGTAAGGGAGAAATTCTAGACTCAGTGTCTAAAATCTCACTCATACAGGAGATCTATGAAAACCTTTAAATATTTTGGACTGATTAAGTAAATTCTACCCTGGATAATCTCTCTTCTGATGAATTTAAAGTCAGTAGATTAAAGTCAAAATATTAGGAATATTAATCACCCTACAATTGAAAAATTGTGATTGAAAAATCCATACCTAGCAACAGCTAGATTAATGTTTGATGGAAGAACTGAAGTTTTGTGTTTGCTAAGAAACGGCCATTGCCTTCCCTTAGTTCTCCAAATCTCCTAAAGAAAAATCCCTTGTCATCTTCCTGAAACAAAATCAAACTAGAATGGAAATTATTGAAATTGTAGTTCAGCTTAGCCAAGCTGATACATCAAAAAGTCAGAAAAGCTACGTTAACCCTTGGCCTCTGAAGACAAGCCATGTCTTTTTTGCTGCAATTTTTTGGTCAAGTAAGTGTCAGGACCAGACTATATTAAAATGGAGCTATACTAGGCTTTATATCATGATGAAAGTTGTGAAAATGTATCAGTAGCCATTTTTAATTTGCCATATTCTGCTCTTTGATTATAAATTATTTATATCCCACCGCATCCAGTGTATACTCACCACTCCCAAACTCCCTTCCCTCAAATACACACTGTATTATTCTATTTATGTAAAATATAAGAATAGGTGAGACTAATCTGTGATAATGCTTCTCAGGGAGAACTTGACTGGAAAGATGTGTAAAGAAACTTCCTGAGGTATGGGAATGTTTTATAACTGACCTTGAGAGGGGGTTACACAAATATAAACAATTGTCAAAATTTATCTGAATAAACAAATAAACCTTTATAGATTTTATTTTAGGTAAATTTTATCTCAATAACATGCTTTTTAATATATCAAATTCTAAGGAACTAATGAAAGTTGGATTAAACACAGCTGAATAGAAATTTGTAAATCTAAAGATAGATCTGAATAAATAGTCAGAATGTAGTACAGAAAGTCAAAGAATTGGAAAATATGAGAGGATAATACAAGCGGAAGATAGAATGAAAAGGTCTAAAATATATCTAATCAGAGTCTCAAAATGAGAAAACTGAGAGGATGAATGAGAACCAATCTATAAAAATACTACGGTTGAGGATTTTTCAGAAATTATGAGAGAGATGAAAAACTTAAATTTCAAAAGAACAAGGATTTTTGTCTATTAATTTATTACATTACTGTCAGTATGTAGAACCCTTCCAGGCATAAATTAGATATGTAATAAATATTAATAAATATTTGCGGAATAAATGACTAAAGCCTCAGAAATAAGAGGAAATGTAAACACAAAAAAAATAAATTCACTTATAAGCTCATTGTAGTAAAGCTATTGAAGTTCTAAGATAAAGATAAGATTTTGAAAGTAGCTACAATAAAAAGATAAGTAAAATACAATTATACTCTATTCCTATAAAAATCTACAGAAAGATTTCAAAAATACTAAAATATAGCCTGCAGAATGTTCTTCTTTGGTTAACACTATCTAAGAGAAGGTATCTTGGTTTTATCAATATTAAATTTTTTTGAACACATATATATATATATACATGAGGTTGTTTTTAGAACTAAGAGAGACAATATTTAGCAACTGTTGCTAAAAACTATATTAATTGATTGGTAAAAGAGAAATAATACCTAAAGCATTTTACGTCTTAAGAAGAAAGATGTTTACACATAAATAGAGATTTCACTGTTTTAAATTTAGGTTTTGAGATTGATTTGTAACAAACTGTAAAATTTCTGATTTTAAAGAATGGTTTTCAATTAGCATTTTTACATAGAATATTTGATATGCAGGATCAAATTACTGACATTAAGAAAGAGATGCTTGTTTTTGCAAACCAAATCAATGACACATAGACAGGATAAAACAACAGACCAGCCTGAACACCACAGGAATAAATGTGATTAGAAAAATGTGCTAGATTTCATTATTAATCAGAGAAATGTATATTAAATCTAGGAAGTTATACCATTTTACATTCATTAATTTGGCAAACATTAAAGAAATGTTAGCAAGAATGTGGATCAGTGGGAACTCCAATGTTATATCGTGCTCATAATAGTTTAAACAAGCAAATTTACTTTGGAAAACAATGGGTATTTTTTTTTAAGTTGAATATTGATATTGTTTTTGATCCAGCAATTCTATTATAAGGTATTCATAACATAAAAGACTATACATTGGGTACAGTGTACCCTGTTCCAGTGATGGGTACATCAATATTTCAGAAGGCACCACTGAATAACTTGTCCATGAGACTCAACAACACCTGTTCCCCCAAAACCTATTTAAATAAAAATTAAAAAAGATTACACTGGGAGATGTTTCTTCAACATTTCTAGAATACAATGTATATGGCAACAATTTTGTAATAGCAAAAACATAGACTAATATAAATGTTGTAGTAGTATAATGGATATATATGCATTGGCATATTCACCCTACATAATATTATCCAACTGTGATACTTGAGGAACTACAACTATATTTTACAACTATGATAAATATTAAAGACATAATTTTTGCTTCAAAAAGCAAAACACAGAAGACAACTTCTATCATGCAATGTTCATAACTCAAAACAAGCATAATGAGCGATGTCAGCAAGATGGTGAATTAGGAAGAGCCAAGTGCTCACTACCCTGTGGAAACACCAAGTACACAACATATGGACCAAAGTAGCTTTATGACAACTCTGGAAATCAGTTAAGAAGCTGCAGCATCTAAGAGAACCCTCAGCCAAGAAAAAGCCACACTCAAAATGGTGATATGTTTTGTGGCATTTTTTCTTGCCCATGTCCCTACCCCCTCCCTGTTCTGTTGTGGCATAGCTGGGAGGAAGCCTCCTTAATTCCTAGTTTCTCAATACAGAAGAAAAACAGTAAAACTTGTTCACAATAACGTGGCTTGTCTTGGGCCTACCCAAGGTAATGGTTTCTGTCTTGTCTTAACTGGAGCGCTGATGGGGACAGTGGCATAGATGTAATATCAGATTGTAAGGTACTGAAAACAATAGTGGGCACAGTCGTGTGTGAAAACTACAGGAAAACTGCAGACTTGTGGATGCCTGAGGGCAAGAGATTACAAACAGAATAATAGAACATCTAAGGACCAGAGAAGAAACAGAAATGAGGCTTTTAAAGGAATGAAGATATTTAAAATCAGCCATGTACATGGGGAATTGGGTAATAGAGCACATGCACAGGCCCCATGAACATGTATCCTCAGAAAAGGCCAGAGAAGATCTTGAGTTTTCATGCAAGAGTGGTTAGTGGTGTCTTCTCTATAGAGTTAATCTACAAGCACTGTAAGAAGTGATTGTTTTTTCAAATCAAATTTTCAACAAAAGATCACAATGCATAAAAGACACAGGAAATGATGTCCCATTTCAAATAACAAACTAAATCTTCAGAAACCATCCGTAAGTAAACAGTCTTAGAAGTTACTTGATAAAGTTTTTAAAACAAATGTCTTAAATATGCTCAAAAAGCTGAAGGAGAACACAGACAAAGCATTAAGGAACTTAGAAAAATAATACCTTAACATAATAAAAATATTAATAAAAATATATAAATTAATAAAAAGAATCAAATGAATATTCTGGAGCTGTAAAATTTAATAACTGAATTGAAAAATACACTAGAGAAACTCAACAGCAGACCTGAACAGGTAAAAGAAATAACCAGCACACATGAAGACAGATCATTTAAAAGTATGGATCTGAGGAGAAGAAAGAAAAAATAAGGAAGTAAACAGAGTAAGGGACTTATGGGACATCATCAAGTAGATTAATACATGCATTATCAAAGTCTCAGAAGAAGATACAAAGAAAGGGAAAGAGAGGTTATTTGATGGAATAATTACCACAATCTCCCAAATTTGGAAAAAGACATACAAATTCAAGAGGCTAAAAAACTCAAAACATGAAAAGTTCAAAGACACCCACACTAAGAGAGATAATAATAAAAGAGTTGAATGTCAAAGAAGAAGAGAGAATCTTTAAAGCAAATAGAGACAAGTTTTCCTCAGTAGGTTTATCAGTAGATTTGTCAGCAGAAATATTTTAGGCTAGGAGGAAATTGGATTATATTTTTAAAGTATTGATATTAAGAACAAAAAAAGTCAAAGGACAATTCTGTATCTCGAAAAACTGTCCATCATAATTCAGGGAGAAATTAAGACATTCCTAGATAAACAAAGAATAGCATTCATTCATTCATTATCATTAGATCTACTCTACAATGAATGCTAAAGGGAATCCTTCAAGTTGGAATGAAAGGACACTAGAGGATAACTTGAAGCAATACAAAAATATAAAGTAACCCATTAAACATAAATAGATGAACAATATTAAAACCTATATTATTAAGATTTTGGTTTATAACTTCACTTTATTTAATAGAATTTAAAACACAAGCTAAGAAACATTTATGAATCTATGCTAATTGGTATACAATCTATAAAGATGTAATTTGTGACATCAATAACAAAAAGGAAAGTGGAGTGGTAAACAAGTAGAGATTCTGTATGAAATTAAAGTTAAGTTGTTATGTTTAAAATTGACTGTTATAACTTAAATATTTTATGTAATATCTATGTTAAAAACAAAGAATAGAAAATTTTTACAAAGAAAATATACACAAAGGAAAATAAGAAGGGAATCAAAATGTGGCACTACAAAAATGAACTAAACATTCACAAAAACAGTAAGGGAGGAAGTGAAAGACAAAAAAACCATAAGACATACAGAAAACCATTACCAAATGGCATTAGTAAGTCTTTTTCTATTAGTAATTATTTTACATGTAAGTACTTTCCTATTAGTAATTACATTACATGTACATTAAACATGAATGTAAATTACTTTCAATGCCAATCAAAAGACAGATTGCCAGAATGGAAAATAAACAAAAACTCGGAATCCATTCCACTATGCTGTCTACAGGAGATTCACTTTAGGTCTAAGGACTTACCTCAGGGCAAGTGAAAAGATCGAAAAATGTATTCCAGACAAATGTACTGTGGCTTATGCCTGTAATTCCAGCACTTTGCAAGGCCAAGGCAAGAGGATCACTTGAGGCCAGGCCAGGAGTTAGAGAGCAGCCTGAGCAACACAGTGAGACACTGTCTCTAAAAAACAAACAACAGCAACAAAAAGCCAGACATGGTGGAAAATGCCTATAATCCCAGCTACATATGAAGCTGAGATACGGAGAGTGCTTGAGCCTTGGAGTTCGAGGTTACAGTGAGTTACGATCATGGCACTACACTATAGCCTGGGTGACAGGGTGAGATCATGTTTCTGAAAAAGAAAAAAAAAAACAGAGAGAAAAAAATATTCCATTGAATAAATAGTGGAGAAAGAAAACCCGGGTGGCTATAATAATAGCAGACAAAATAGGCTTTAAGTCACAAACTTTTATAAGAGACAAAGAAGAACATTAAATCATGATAAATGAATCATTCCACCTAGAAAATATAACAATTATCATATGCACCAAATATCATAACTCCAAAATATGTGACGCAAATATCGACAGAATCAAACAGAGAAATAGGAATAGGAGGAGACTTCAATACTTCACTTTCAATAATAGAAAATGAGACAGAAGATCAATAAGAAAAGGGAGGACTTAAATATCACCACAACAATTGGATGTAAAAGATATATATGGAAACCTCTAGGTGGCTGGCCAAATAGTAACAGCTCTGGTCTGCAGCTCCCAGTAAGATCAATGCAGAAGGTGGGTAATTTCTGCATTTCCAACTGAGGTAGCAGGCTCATCTCATTGGGACTGGTTAGACAGTGGGTGCAGCCCACAGAGGATGAGCTGAAGCAGGGTGGGGCGTTACCTCACCCAGGAAGTGCAAGGGGTCAGGGAACTCCCTCCTCTAACCAAGGAAGGCTGTGAGGGACTGTGCCGTGAGGAACAGCGCACTCCAGCCCAGATACTATGCTTTTCCCATGGTCTTCACAACCTGCAGACCAGGAGATTCCCTCTGGTGCTTATGCCACCAGGGCCCTGGGTTTCAAGCACAAAACTGGGCAGCCACTTGGGCAGAAACCAATCTAGCTGCAGGACTTGTTTTTTCCTTCATAGCGCAGTGGTGCCTGGAACGCCAGCTAGACAGAACCATTTACTCCCCTGGAAAGGGGCTGAAGCCAGGGAGCCAAGTGGTCTAGCTCAGCAGATCCCACCCCCGTGGAGCCCGGCAAGCTAAGATCCACTGGGTTGAAATTCTTGCTGCCTGCACAGCAGTCTGAAGTCCACTTGGGATGCTCGAGGTTAGTGGAGGGAGGGGCATATGACATTACTGAGGCTTGAGTAGGCTGTTTTCCCCTCACAGTGTAAACAAAGCCACTGGGAAGATCAAACTGGGTGGAGCCCACCACAGCTTGGCAAAGCCACTGTAGTCAGACTGCCTCTCTAGATTATTCCTCTCTGGGCAGGGCCTCTATGAAAGAAAGGCATCAGCCCCAGTCAGGGGCTTATAGATAAAACTCCCAACTCCCCAATGTTATTCTTATCAAACTACCAATAACATTCTTTATAGAAGTAGTAAAAAAACTATTAAATCAACATTGAACCAAAAAGAGCTTGAACAGCCAAGACAATTTTAAGCAAAAAGAACAAAACAGGAAGCATCATGTTACCTGACTTCAAACTATGTGACAGGACTATGGTAAGCAAAAGAACATGGATACTCGTACAAAAACAGACACATAGACCAACGGAACAGAATATAGAGCTTAGAAATAAGGCCGCATACCTACAACCATCTAATTGTCAATAAAATTGACTTTATAAAACAACAATGGAGAAAAGATTCCCTATTCAATAAATAGTGCTGGGATAACTGGCTAACCATATGCAGAAGATTGAAACTGGACGCCTTCCTTATACCATACACAAAAATCAACTAAAGATAGATTAAAGACCTACATGTTAAACCCAAAACTATAAATCCCTGGAAGACAACCTAGGCAACACCATTCAGGACATATAAACAAGCAAGGATTTTATGACAAAGATGCCAAAAGTAATTGCAACAAAAGCAGAAATGACAAATAGGTTCTAATTAAACGAAAGAACTTCTGTACAGCAAAAACAAACAAACAAACAAACAAAAACCAATGAGTAGAAGAAACAGATGACCAACAGAATGGGAGAAAATTTTTGCAATCTATACATCTGAAAAATGTCTAATATCCACCATCTATAAGGAATTTAGACAAATTCACAAGAAAGAAACCAACAACCTCATTAAACAGTGGACAAAGGACTTGAACACTTTTTTAAAGAAGACATACATGTGGCCAAAGAAGCATATGAAAGAAACTCAATATCACTAATCATTAGAGAGTTGCAAATCAAAACCACAATGAGATACCATCTCACACCAGTCAGAATGGCTATTACTAAAATATCAAAAAATAACAGATGCTTGTGAGGTTGCAGAGAAAAGGGAATGCTTATACACCATTGGTGGGAGTGTAAATTAGTTCAACCCTTGTGGAAGACAATGTGGTGATTCCTCAAGGACATAAAGACAGAAATACCATTTGACCCAGCCCATTACTGGATATATATCCAAAGGAATAGAAATTGTTCTGTCATAGGGACACATGCACACATATGTTGATTGCAGCACTATTCACAAAAGCAAAGAAGTGGATTAAATCTAAATGCTAATCAATGGTAGACTGGATAAAGAAAATGTAGTACTTATATACCCTGGAATATTATGCAGCCAAAAAAAAGAGTGAGTTCATGTCCCTTGCAGGAACATGGATGAAGCTGGAGGCCATTATCCTCAGAAAACTTACGCAGTAACAGAAAACCAAACACTACATGTTCTCCCTTGTAAGTGGAAGCTAAATGGTGAGAACACATGGACACAGAGAGAGGAACAACAGACACTGGTGCATACCTGATCAGGGAGGATGGGAGAAGGCAGAGGATCAGATAAAATAACTACTTGGTACTAGTATTAATACCTGGATAACAAAGTAATCTGGACAACCAATATGAGTTTACCTATATAACAAACCTGTGCATGTACCACTGAACCTAAAATAAAAGTTTTTCTAAGAATGAATATTTTGTTCCTAATGTGGAACCCGTAACTATATAGTCTTAGGGACATCATATCACTTTTCCTGGCCTCATCTGTTAAACACCATTACACATCTATTCATATCAAACATTATAGAATGTTATGAATGTGAATTATTTCCCATTAGGTAAAGATTTTGGAGTTCTTATAAAGAAAGGGAGGAGATATATAAGAACAAAAACTACTTTTATTGTATTTATACTTTTAATTTTGTTTCAAGACAGGGTCTTGCTCTGTTATCCACGCTGGAGTTCAGTGGTACATTAGTAGCTCACTGCAATGTCGAGCTCCTGGGCTCTCAGCAGTACTTCCACTACTTCCACCTCAGCTCCGCAAGTAGTTAGGACTACACTCATGCACCACCATGCGTGGCTATTCTTTTTTTACTTTTTGTAGATATAGGGTCTTGCCTTTTGTAGAGGCTTGTCTTAAATGTGAGCCTCAAGCAAACCTCCCATCTTGGCCTCCCTAGTGCTGGGATTACAGAAGTGAGGCATCATGTTTGGCCCCAAGAACAAGGACTACTTTTAAAATAACATGACAGAAAAAATAAAACAGCCTGACAAAGCTTTAGTTGAAAATCGAATTTTTATAAATTCTATTCTTCTATTTTTCTGAACTTCTATAACATTTCTCATCATAATTTGTAATGGGAGGGAGCATTATTGAGAGAATGAAAAAACACCTGTGTGACTAGTGCTCAGAAAAAAAGAAAGTATGTGTAAAAGACCAGGCTGGAGAAATATAGAGGGACAAATCAAACAAGGGGTTGGGAGCCAGGCTAAAGATATTGTTCTTTAGCCTAAGACACAATTGGAAGTAATTGAGAAGTTTGGTTTTTTTTTTTTTTTCTTTTTTTTTTTGAGATGGAGTCTCACTCTGTCACCAGACTGGAGTGCAGTGACCCGATCTCGGCTCACTGCAACCTCCACCTCCCAGGTTCAAGTGATTCCCCCGCCTCAGCCTCCTGAGTACCTAAGATTGCAGGCGTGTACCACCACACATAGCTTAATTTTTGTAATTTTAGTAGAGACAGGGTTTCACCATCTTGGTCAGGCTGGTCTCAAACTGCTGACCTCAAGTGATCCGCCTGCCTCGGCCTCCCAAAGTGCTGGGATTATAGGCATGAGCCACTGCGCTTGGCCATAATTGAGAAGTTTGAACCAGAAAAATAAAATGATCAGACTTGTATTAGGTTGGTCACCATTACTTTTAATGGCAAAAACCGCGATCACTTTTACACCAACCTAGTATTTTATGAAGCTCACTCTGTTTGCAGTGTGGAAAGTTGATTTGCAATGGACAAAAAGCAGATATAGTAAAACTAATGAGAAAATTACAACAGTAGTTCAGGTAGGAGATGATAGGGAATTTGTCTTAGATGTTATTAATTGAAATGATACAAAGTGGGCCAAATCATAGTTTCTTTAAATTCAGGGAGTTAGTAATGGAATATAGGAGAAATACAAAGAGATACATGAAATATCAATATTCTTGGATTAGGGAGGTAGCTGATTTATGTGTATTATTTTATAAATTAAAATAGAACAATACATAGAACAATGGTGACAAGTTTTCATGAAGCAAAGATTGTGACTAATCTTACACTAAGCAACTGACACCCATAAGAAATAAGAAAGGAAACACAACAAACTTTACTAAATAGAAAAATGTGAATTTAATTGACAAACATGTCCTAATGTAACAGTAGTTTCAATGCATGTAAATGGATTATAGTGATTAATGAAGCAAAGAAAATATACAGTTTTGAAAAAGAGAGAAAGAATAACCAGATGTTCTTTTAAAGGACACAGAATAATCAGAAATAGAGGAGAAGAAAAAGAAATACTAAGCAGTATGAATCAAAGAAAGCTAGGAGTGAGGCAGATATAATTTAGGGAAAAATAATGTTATGTTATGGTAAAAGGGACCATTGCACAAGGAGATATAACTATTATAAATATATATTCCTAACAGTGCCAACTCTAAATGTGTTAATTAAAAAGAGACAGAACTTTAAGGAAACATAGATAAATAATTTTAATTAGAGACTTTAACACACTCTTCTAGAGAACCAAAAATAAAGATTTTTTAATATATGCTCTCTGTGTGTTCACACATATAACTGTACAAACAACTGAAAATTATTTTCAATCACACAAAGAACATTTAAAATAATAGAGCATATATTTTGTCATATGGAAAGTCTGTAAATTCCAAAAGATCAGTAAAATGAAATAACATTGGACATCAATAGTAATGAAAGAATAGCTTAAAATCAGAAGTTAGAAAATAAAATAACATATTTATAAATAGCCCATAGTTTTAAAAAAGAATCACAAAAAATTACAATAAAGAAATTTTTAGGTGAGTGATAAGACACCGATTGTCAGAAATTGTGGTTCACAGAGAAGCAATAATTAGTGGAGAATGTGTACTCTTTGTGTTTTATAAACAAATAAGGATAATTTTTAAATTACTAAGAATTTAGTTCAATATTTTGGAAACATTGAAACTAAAACCAATGAAACTAATAGAATAAAAATGATAATGGGCAGAAATAATAGTAATAGTAATAATGATAATAAAACTCAGAAACAACTTTCTTCAAATTACAATATTTTCTTAAAAGGAGTAACAAAATTGTTAGACTTCTCTCAAAAATGTTTAATAAACTAGAAAAAAATACAAAAATAAATACAATCATAAAAAAAGAAAATAGCTACAGACCTAACAGAATTCTAATAAATAATAAGAACAAAATTAGCGACTATAACATCAATTTGAAAACCTAGATTAAATGAATACATTTACAAAATAATATAAAACAGGCCGGGCGCGGTGGCTCACGCCTGTAATCCCAGCACTTTGGGAGGCCGAGGCGGGCGGATCACGAGGTTAGGAGATCGAGACCATCCCGGCTAAAACGGTGAAACCCCGTCTCTACTAAAAAAATACAAAAAATTAGCCGGGCGTGGTGGCGGGCGCCTGTAGTCCCAGCTACTCGGGAGGCTGAGGCAGGAGAATGGCGTGAACCCGGGAGGCGGAGCTTGCAGTGAGCCGAGATCCCGCCACTGCACTCCTGCCTGGGCGACAGAGCGAGACTCTATCTCAAAAAAAAAAAAAAATAATAATAATAATAATAATAATAATATAAAACAGCAAAACTGGAAGAAGAAAAAAGGGACTTAAGTATATCTAGAAGTATCAAAAAATAGAAATAGTAGTCAAAACCTTTGTTCCTCAACTCACATGCCCAATGATTTTACAAGTGAGTTCTATCCAACTTTCAAGTAACAGTTAATCTATATTTTAACATATTTTCCTGAAAATACTTTAAAAAACTGTACTTTCTCAGCTCTTTTCATAATGCAAGTGTAGTATTTATTCCTTAAACAGATGTGAACAATTCAAGATTGAAAGCATATTGAACATTTAACTTATGAAAGTAAATGCAATTAGCTAGGCTTCACGGCACGTGCCTATAGTCTCAGCTACTCAGGAGGCTGAGGCAGGAGGGTCCCTTGAGCCCAGGAGCTCCAAGCTGCAGTGAGTTATAATCCCACCACTGTACTCCAGTCTGGGTAACAGAGCAAGACCCTCTCTCTAAAAACTAAATAATTAATTAAAAATAAAAAATAAAGTAAATGCAAACATTCAAAAACAACCTACTGAATCATAAAATATATTTTAAAAACTTTATGGTTAATTATCATAAATGCAAGGATATAGCTACAGTAGAAAATTAATAAATGTTGAGGATGGCAGAATAACAAAATAGGCTACCCTGGGCCTCCAGCAGAATGCAACCACTATTCTGAACTGCTTTTGCTCAGATTGTTATTGGAGAGAAAACAAAGCTTCTGTCTTGTTAAGCCACTACATTTTTGTTGTTTGTTATGGAATCTAAACCTGTACCCTAACAATAGCACCACTGTCTCCCAAATTCTGTTTAAACTGTCCTCATTGCCAGCTGGCTGAAAAGTGACACAGTACCAAAATCCCATTTTAGAGTTTGCTTCCTAGGCTTACACCTGCCACCAATTATGTTAATTATTTTCCCTAGCAGACTGAGATGGGAATTAGCAAGCGGAAAATGTATTGAAAAGTGTTTCACTTGTAGTGAATTGAGATATCCAGGATTGAGTAGTGGGAGAAACTTAGCACAATTCCCTCATAACTAAGTTCTCAACTGATATTCAGGTAGTGTATTCAAGAGATAGTAACTCTGGAGGTGGGATGGCCATTCAGGGTTGCTCCAGTTGAAACAAAGGCCTGGGCTTTTGTGTCCCTGCATTGGCCAGTCATTTACTGCAGACTGCTTCCTTATAGAAAGTATAATTTTAAGTGAAGCAATTCTCTAAGGGCAATTGGAATTTCCCATGAGAAATGCAGTTGTGGCAAGCAGGTAGGGGATGGATGCAACAGGCCTGAAGAGGGAATCTGCTCAGGGGATCATAATATTCACTGTAATGCTCTATCTTAATACCAGGCTTCCATTTAATTATCTTCTCAACTACAAAATATCTTACTTTGCTGGTGCAGAATTTAAAATGACCTGCAGAATTTAACGGGATCTTTTGCTTTTAAACCTGTAAAAAAATCAAGTTCACTTATAATAAGATAAATGTAAAAGAAATTACAATGAGATATTTTCAGAACTTTTGATAACCTACGGCATTGGGTAGTATGTAGAGGTAAATTTACTCTAATATTCTGTGGAGGCTAAAGCAACTCCATCTTGGAAATAATTTTACCATGTTGGCTTCTGATTAACCCCTGTTCTTGGAAGGGCTCTAAGATTTTCAAGTTCTCTATTGTTTCTTGTGTAAGAGTGGAAACTTAACCATAAATCCTGCCCTTAGGCCAAACAACCTTGATGTTATCATACTTTAAATTGCCCTACACATGCTTTCTGAACCACCCCTCCCTTATGGTATAAACCCTGGGTCTGGGGGATAATGCTGCAGGAATCCCACCATCTTGTCTCTCTGTCACACAAGACACAGACATAGCTTCTATTTGTAAGTCCCTATTAAATGTCTCTGTAAGAAATTGCATTTGTCATTCTCTTTCTTCAGCCTCTCAGCTTCCTCAAACTTTGGGGTATGTTTGCATAGAACTGCCTACTGTGAAACATTATTTTGCTGGGACTATAAAATTTTACAGTTCTCTAGGCAGAATATCTGCATTGCTTTTACTCAGTAATTCATATAAAAATGTATTTAATAACTAAGTCATGATGTTAGACTCAGCAATGATTCTTGGATATCACATCAAAAACACAGGCAACAAAATAAAAACAAAATTAGATTTCATCAAATATAAAAACTTTTGTGCCTCAAAACAATCAACAGGTGGAAAGGCAACTCACAGAATGGGAAAAATATTTTCAAATCATATATTTGATGAAGAATTAATATCTAGAATATGTAAAGAACTCCTATAACTCCACAACGGAAAAACAATCCAATTAAAAATGGTTTGAATAGATATTTCTCCAAAGAATATACACAAGTGGGCATACAGATTGCCATCAAAAACGTAAAAGATGTTCAACATCACTAATTATTGGGGAAATGCAGATCAAAGCTACTATGATATTCCACTTCACACCCATTAGGTTAACTATTATCCAAAAAACAGAAAATAGCAAGAGTTGTTGAAGATATGGGGAAATTAGAAGTCCTGTACATTTCTGGTGGTAATGTAAAATAATGCGGCTGTTGTGTAAAACAGTATGGTAGGTCCTCAGAAAGCTAAATTAGAATTACAATAAGATGAAACAATTTTAATTATAGGTATGTACCCATAAAATTTGGAAGCAAGGACTAGAACAGATATTTGTACACCCATGGGCACCATTGCTGTTCACCTTACAAATTATCCTTAAAATGTAGTTAATATATTTTATTTCTTACTATGCCACTTAGCATTTCTTTTTCTTTTATTCAGTGAATTGTTAT
Organism: Homo sapiens; assembly: GCF_000001405.40. Lineage (NCBI taxonomy): Eukaryota > Metazoa > Chordata > Mammalia > Primates > Hominidae > Homo > Homo sapiens. The sequence continues at coordinate 6,007,056 of NC_000024.10, forward strand.
TTATATTGATTCACATATTAGCTCTTTTTTCTTAATATTCTTTCTCATATCCTTTCTACTTTCTGAGTTTAACTTCATTCTTTCTGAGGTATATTTATCAGCAGGACTTTAACCAAGGGTCTGTCTCAGTTTTTCTTTAGCTGAGTTTATAATTCTAAGTTAAATAATTTTACCTGGAGATTTTTTTTGTGTGTGTTTTGCTTTTGCTATTGAAAATGTTATTTTTGTTATAATTCTTCCTGTGTAGGCAATCTTTTATCTATGTTTGCTGTTAAGATTTCCATTTTTTCTTTGATGTTGCACAGTTTCACTTTGCCATAATATTAAATTGTTATGTTAAATTATGTTCTCTTCCACAGAAATTTTTATGCTTTTTTAACCAGATTTGTGTCCTTTATCAGATCTTGAAAAAATTTAAAGTCACTATATCTATAAATCTTACTATTGCTCAAAAATATATTCTAAATGATCTGTTTATTTGATTTCCCTTTGATTAACCGGTCTTTGAATTTCTCTATCCTGCCTTATGGGTAATTTCCTCAAAACCATATTTCAGTTTACTAATATCTCTTTAGATGTGGCTAATATACTATTTAGATCATCATTAATTTTTCCATTTCAACAACTTTATTTTTTTAAAGTAGGCCGGGTGCGCTGGTTCACACCTGTAATCCCAGCACTTTGGGAGGCTGAGGCGGGTGGATCATCTGGGTCAGGAATTCAAGACCGGCCTGGCCAACATGGCAAAACCCTATCTCTACTGAAAATACAAAAACTTAGCCGGGCATGGTGACGTGTGCCTGAAATCCCAACTACTCAGGAGTCTGAGGCAGGAGAATTGCTTGAACCAGGGAGGCAGAGGGTGCAGTGAGCCGAGACTGCTCCGCTGCCTTCTAGCCTGGGAAACAGAGTGAGACTCCATCTCAAAAAATAATAATAATTTAAAAAGTAATGTTTCGCTTCAGTCTTTATTTTCATTTTCTTTTACATACAGTGAAATTCACATTTTATGGCCTATAGTTTTACGAATTTTAACAATTGCATAGAGTCATGTAACCATCACAATAATTAAGGTACAGATCAGTCCCATAACTCCAAGTTTTCATTTCACTGCTTCATTTGCTCGTTGATTTGTTCAAGTTTCCTAAAGATTCTGAATATTAGACTATTGTCAGATACATAGGTTGCAAATACTTTCTCAAATTCTGTAGGTTGTCTGTTTACTCTGTTGATAGTTTCGTCTTCTATGCAGAAGCTCTTTAGTTTAATTAGATCTCGTTTGTCAATTTTTGCTTTGGTTGCAATTGCTTTTGGCATCTTTGGCATGAAATCTTTGCTGGTTCCTATGTCCAGAATGGTATTGCCTAAGTTGTCTTCTAGAGTTTTCATAGTTTTGGGTTTACATTTAAGTCTTTCATCCATCCTAAGTTGATTTTTGCGGATGGTAAAAGAAAGTATTCTAATTTTATTCTTCTGCATATGGCTAGCCAGTTATCTCAGCACCATTTATTGAATAGGGAGTCCTCTCCTCATTGATTGTTCTTGTCCACTTTGTTGAAGACCAGATGGTTGTAGGTGTGCAGGCTTATTTCTAAGCTCTATATTCTGTTTCATTGGTCTGTGTGTCTGTTTTTGTACCAATATGATGCTGTTTTTGTTAACTGTAGCGTTGTAGTATAGCTTGATGTCAGGTAGTATGACGTCTCTGGCTTTCTTCATTTTGCTTGGGATTGCTTTGACTATGTAGGCTCTTTTTGGGTTCCATATGAATTTTAAAATTGTTTTTTTCAAATTCTATGAAATATGTCACTTGTAGTTTGATAGGAATAGCATTGAATCTGTAAATTGTGTTGGACAGTATTGCCATTTTAGTAATATTGCTTATTTCTATCCATGAGCATGGAATGTCTTTCCATTTGTTTGTGTTGTCTAATTTATTTGAGCAGTATTTTGTAATTCTTCTAGAGATCTTTCACCTATCTGGTTAGTTGTGTTCTTAAGTATTTTATTCTTCTTGTGGCTATTGTGAAAGTGATTACATTCTTATTTTGGCTCTCAGCTTCGACATTGTTGTTGTATAGAAATGCTACTGATTTTTGTACATTGATTTTGTGTCCTGAAACTTTGCTGGAGTTATTGATCAGATCTAGGGGCTTTTGTACAGGACCTGTGGGACTTTTTAGGTATAAAGTCACATTATCTACGAAGAGAGATAGTTTGACTTCCTCTCTTCTTATTTGGATGCCTTTTACTTCTTGCTCTGACCTGATTGCTCTCGCTAAGACTTCCAACACTATGTTGAATAGGGGTGGTGAGAGAGGGCATTCTTGTCTTGTTCAGGTTCTCAAGGGCAATGCTTCTAGATTTTGTTCATTCAGTATGATGTTGGCTTTGAGTTTTTCATAGATGACTGTTAATATTTTGAGTTATATTGCTTCAATGCCTAGTTCATTGAGAGTTTTTAACAAAAAGGGATGTTGAATTTTATCAAAAGCCTTTTGTGTGTCTATTGAGATGATCATGTGGCTTTTGTTTTTAGTTATATTTATGTGATTAATCAAATTTGATTTGCATGTATTGAGCCAAACTTGCATCCCAGGAATAAAGCCTGCTTGATGGTGGTGGATTAGCTTTTTGATGTGTTTCTGGATTCAGTTTGCAAGTATTTTGTTAAGAATATTTGCATTTATTTTCATCAGGAATGTTGGCCTAATTTTTTTTTCTATATCTGTCAGATTATGGTATCAGAATAATTCTGACCTCATAGAATGAGTTAGGTAGGACTCTCTCCTTCTCTAGTTTTTGGCATAGTTTCAGTAGGATTCGTGCCAATTGTTCTTTTTACATCTGGTAGATTTCAGGTATGAATCTGTCTGGTTGAGTGGTTTTTCTGATTGGTAAGTTTTTTATTACTGATTCCGTTTTGGAGGTTGCTATCAGTCTGTTCAGAGTTTCAATTTATTCCTGGGAGATTGTATGCTTTCAGGAATTAATCCGTTTGTTCTTGGTTTTCTAGTTTCTGTGCCTAGAGGTGTTCCTAATAGTCTCTGAGGCTTTTTTTTTTTTTTGTATATTTATATGTGGTTGTTACTAATGTCGCTTTTGTAATTTCTGCTTGTCTTCCTTTGAATCTTCTTACTTTTTTATCAGTCTAGCTAGCAGTCTATCAGTTCTATTAATTATTTCTAAGAACCAACTTTTGCTTTCATTGATCTGTAAAGTTTATCACTTCTCAATTTCATTCAATTCAGCTCCTATTTGTTTTTTTTTCTCTTTTTCTTCTTTTGCTAGCTTTACCATTGGTTTTCTCTTGTTTCCCTAGTTCCTCTAGGTGTAATATTAGGTTGTTAATTTTAGACCTTTCTAACTTTTTGATGTGGGCATTTAGTGCTATAAACTCTCCTCTTAACACTGTTTGAACTGTATCCCAGAGATCTAGGTATGTTGTATATTTGTTTTCATTAGTTTCAAAGAGTTTCTTGATTTCTGCATTAATTTCATTGCTTGCCCAAAAGTCATTCATGGGCAGGTTGTTTAATTTCTATGTAGTTGTATGATTTTAAGAGACCTTTTTCATATTTATTTTTATTTTTATTGCATTGTAGTTCAAGAGTGTTGTTGGTATTTTTTTTAATTTGTTGAAAATTGTTATATGACTGATTGTGCAGTCAATTACAGAGTATGTGCTATTTACAAATGAGAATAACATATATTCTGTTGTTCTTGGGTGGAGTGTTCTGTACTTGACTATTAGGTCCTTTTGGTTGTGTGTCAAGTTTAAGTCCCAAATATCTTTGTTAGTTTTCTGCCTTGATGATCTGTCAAATACCATCAGTGGGGCATTGAAGTCTCCCATTATTATTGTGGGATTATCTAAGTCTCTTTTTAGGACCCCAAAAACTTGCTTTATGAATCTGGTTGCTCTTGTCTTGGGTGCATATATATTTAGGATAATTAAGTCTTCTTGTTGATTTGATCCCTGTATCATTACATTATTCCCATTTTTGTCTTTTTTGATCATTGTTGATTCAAAGTCTATATTGTCTGAAATTAGAATTGGAATCTCTGCTTTTTGTTTGTTTGTTTTCCATTGGCTTGATAGATTTTTGTCCATTTTTTTAAGTCTATGAGTGTCTTTTCATGTGAGATGAGTCACTTGAAGCATGCAGTCATGTCTTGCTTCTTTATCTAACTTGCCAGTCTGTGCCTTTTTTGTGGAGCATTTAGCCAGTTTATGTTCAGAGTTAATATTGATATGTGTAGATTTGATCCTTTCATTGTGTTGTTAGCTAGTTGTTATGCACATTGTGTCACTGCTTTATAGTGTCAATGGTATATGCACTTAAGTGTGTTTTTTGTGTTGGCCAGTAAAGTTTTCATTTACATGTTTAACACTCTTTATTGATCTCTTGTAAGGCAGATCTGGTGGTAATGAATTCCCTTAGCATTTATTTGTCTGAAAAGTATCTCATTTTTCATTCGCTTATGAAGCATAGTTTGGCTAGATATAAAATTCTTAGTTGGAATTTCTTTTATTGAAGAATGTTGAATATAGGCCCTCAGTCTCGTCTGGCTCTTAGAGTTTGTGCTAAGAAAGGTATGCTGTTAGCCTGATAAGGTTCTCTTTGTAGGTGAACTGCCCCTTCTCTCTAGCTGCCTTTAATATCTTTTTGTTTATGATGACCTTATAGAATCTGATGACTATGTGTCTTGGGGATGGTCGTTTTGTATAGGATCTCACAGGGGTTCTTTGCATATCCTGAATTTGAATGTCAACTTCTTTAGCGAGGTTGAGGAAATTTTCATGGACAATATACTCAAATATGTTCTCCAAGTTGCGTGCTCTCTCTCTTTCTTTCAGGGATTCCAATGAGTTATACGTTTGGTCCCTTTACATACTCTCATATTTCTCAAAAGTTTTGTTCTTTCTTTACTTCTTTTTTCTTTACTTTTGTCTGACTGAGTTAACTTGAAGAACCAGTCTTCAAGCTCTCAGATTCTTTCTTCATCTTGGTCTATTATCCTGTTAATATTTTTATTGTATTTAATATTATGAAATTATTGTAGTGAGTTTTTCAGCTCTATCAGACAAGTTTGGTTTTTTCATGCAATGGATAATTTATCTTTCAGCTCTTATATCATTTTGCTGGATTCCTCAGATCCCTAGAGTTGGGTTTCAACTTTTTCCTGAATCTCAATGATCTTCATTCCTATCAAGATTTGTAATTCTACGTCTGTCCTTTCAGCCACGTTAGCACAGTTAAGAACCATGGCTGGGGAGTTAGTGTAATCATTTGGAGGTAAGAAGACATTCTGGCTTTTTGAGTTGTCAGAGTTCTTGCGCTGATTCTTTCTCATCTCTGTGGGCTAATATTCCTGTAATCTTTGAAGCTGCTGTCCCTTGGAAGACTTTTTTTTTTGTCTGCTTTTGATGCCCTTGAGGTTTTGATTGTGGTATAAACTGAGTTTAGTCAACTGGCTTTATTTCTGGAAGATTTCAGGGTGCCAAGTCTCAGTTCAGCACTCCTGGGCTGCATGCTCTAACCCTGGGGATCTAATACCAGTCCCATGGCTTTGTTCTCTGACCCCTTGTGGTTAAGCACCTACTACACTGGAGGGCCCAATGTGCTCCCGGTCCACTGATGAAAACACTCCAATGGAAGCTGATGGCCAAAGAGCTTCACTGGGGTAGTGGAAACAGGGTCCATGCTCATGTGCACATGCCAGCAGCAGTGATGCAGTGGTGTCCACACCTGCGTGTGTATCAACAGTAGTGGTACAGCAGAGTACCTGAATGTCAGTAGGGTTTGGGTGCCAGCAGCGAGGTTCATTTTCACATGAGCTTGTGGCAATGGTGTGGTGAGGTCCACATCCATGTGTGTACTGACAAAGTGTGGTGGGGACTGTGTGCAAGTGTGTGATGGCAAAGTGGTGGGGAAGAGCTATGGATGTGTGAGTACGTGTTGGTGGGGTCCCCTCTACTAAGGTTCTCTGATGATTAAGCATGGTCTGCTGGTGAAGAAGCTATTGTGGTGGCTTCCATAAAGTGCTCCAGTTGGGCATCCCAGGCTGCACTACAAGCTGGCACAGTAAGGCAAGAACTCCAGGAAAAGCTGGCATCCAGGGGTGTGCTCAGTTCAGACTGTCCCTATCCCATGAGCAAGACTGTCCTGCCCTGTCCAGATCCAACAGTCAACAAAGACCAAAGCCACCTAGAGGATCACAGCAAGCCTTAGGGGATGGGCATTCCTGGCCAAGCTCCACTGCTGCCATTCCCATGCCAAACCCTCTGGGCTGGAGTTTCATCCCTGCCACCTCTCTGAGCAAGTCTCCCTGTAAGCTCAAGTGTCTGTGGGCGTCATGCAGTCTTCTGCAGCTAGGATTCTGTCGGTTCATGATGAGAGTGGGCCACTCCTTGCTTATTTAATTTACTCCTCACCCTGGAGTTACTGGAAGCCAGGAAAAAGTCTTGGTGCTCAGCAGCCCTGTGCTTGGTTCCTAGCTTCCTATCCCTTCAGCTCAGGGTCTGCATCCTCCCCCAATCCATTCTCAATGCCTTTCTTCTGAAGATCTGCTCAGAATTTGCCAGTCTTATTGATGGTCTGGTCTCTCAGTGGGAGATGCTCTTCCTGGCTGCATCTAGTTGGTCATCTTGTCTCTCCTCCCAATAAATCTGTCAATATTGTCTTCTTTAAAATATTAACTTTCCAATTCAAGAACATGAAATATCTTTCCATTTATATGTGTTAATGTAAATATTTTTTCTGGAATATTTTGTAGAATTTAGTGCACAAGTCTTTCACTTCCTTAGTTGAGTTTATTATTTAGTAGTTCATTTTGATGTTATTATAAGTGAAATGTTTTCACTGTTTCCTTTTTTAATTGTTCATCATTAGTTTATAAAAATGCAGCTGCCTTTTACATGTTGATTTTGTATCCTGCAACTTTGCTGAATTTGTTTATTTGTTCTAACCATTTTTTTTTTATTTTTGATGAAATATTTAGGGTTTTCTACATATAAGATTATGTCCTCTGTGGATAGATATAATTTTACTTTTCGATTTCTGACTTCAATTCCTTACTACCTTTTTTTGCCTAATTGACCTGACTAGGACTTTTAGTACTATTTTGAATAGAAGAGATGAAAGTGAGCATCCTTGTCTCATTCTTGGTATTAGAGGAAAACATTTCACTCTTTCACAATTGAGTATGATATTGGCTCTGGGATTTCCATATAGGACCTTTAATATATTAAGGTGGTTTTACTTTACTCCTAGTTTGTTGAGTGGTTTTATCATGAAAGTGAGTTGAATTTTGTCAACAGATTTCATTGAATCAAATGAGATGATAATGGGGTTTATTCCCTTCATTCTGTTTATGTGGTGTATTGCAATGATTGACTTTTGAATGTTGAATCATCCTTGCACAACTGGAATTAATTTCACCTGATCATGATGTATACATATTTTAATGTGCTGTTGAATTCACTTTGCTTGCATTTTGTTCAAAAGTTTTGCTTCAATACTAATCAGTGATATTGGTCTGTAGTTTGTTTTTTTCCTTGTAATGTCTTTGGCTATGGTATGCTAACTTCATAGAATAAGACTGTAAATTGCTATAGACTGAATGTTTATGTCTCCAAAATTTATATCTTAAATCCTTATCCACAATGGAATGGTATTTGGAATGGAGACTTTTGAAAAGAGATTAGGTCATGAGGTCAGAGTCTTCATGAATGAGATAAATACCTTTATAAAGGAGGCTTCAGAAACACTAGCTAGACTAATAAAGAAGAAAAGAGAGAAGAATCAAATAGACACAATAAAAAATGATAAAGGGGACATCACCACCTATTCCACGGAAATACAAACAACCAACAGAGAATACTACAAACACCTCTATGCAAGATAAAATAGAAAATTTAGAAGAAATGAATAAATTCCTGGACACATGCACCCTCCCAAGACTGATCCAGGAAGAAGTTGAATCACTGAATAGACCAATAACAAGTTCTGAAATTGAGGCAGTACTAAATAGCCTACCAACCTAAAAAAGCCCAGAACCAGATGGATTTACAGCTGAATTCTACCAGAGCTACAATGAGGAGCTGGTACCATTTCTTGTGTAATGATTCCAAACAATTGAAAAGGAGGGACTCCTCCCTAACTAATTCTGTGAGGCCAGCATCATCCTGATACCAAAACCTGGCAGAGATACAACAAAAAAAGAAAACTTCAGGCCAATAGCCCTTATGAACATTGATGCAAAAATCCTCAATAAAATACTGGCAAACTGAATCCAGAAGCATAACAAAAAGCTTATCTACCAAGACCAAGTCAACTTCATCCATGGGATGCAAGGCTGGTTCAACATACACAAATCAATAAACATAATTCATCACATAAACAGAACTAAAGACAAAAACCACATGATTATCTCAATAGATGCAGAAAAAGCCTTTGATAAAATTCAGCATCCCTTCATGTCAAAAACTCTCAATAAGCTAGGTATTGAGGGAACATAACTCAAAATAATAAGAACCATTTATGAGAAATCCATAGCCAATACCATGCTGAAGGGGCAAAAGCTGGAAACATTCCCCTTGAAAACCAGCACAAGACAAGAATGCCCTCTCTCACCACTCCTACTCAACAGAATATTGGGAATTCTGGCCAGATTAATCAGACAAGAGAAACAAATAAAACATATTCAAATAGGAAGAGAGGAAGTCAAATTGTCTCTGTTTGCAGATTACATGATCCTATATCTAAAAAATCCCATTGTCTCAGCCCAAAAGCTTCTTAAGCTGATAAGCAACTTCAGCAAAGTCTCAGGGTATAAAATCAATATGCAAAAATCACAAGAATTCCTATACGTGAGAAACAGACAAGCAGAAAGCCAAATCGTGAATGAATTCTCATTCACAATTGCTACAAAGAGAATAAAATACCTAGGAATACAACTAACAAGGGAAGTAAAGGACCTCTTTGAGGAGAACTGCAAACCACTGCTCAAAGAAATCAGAGAGGACAAACGAATATACATTCCATATTCATGGATAGGAAGAATCAATATCATCAAAATGGCCATACTGCCCAAAGTAATTGATAGAGTCAATGCTATTCCCATTGAACTACCATTGATAGTCTTCACAGAATTAGAAAAAACTACTTTAAAATTAATATGGAACCAAAAAAAGAGCCCCATAGCCTAGACAATCCTAAGCAAAAAGAACAAAGCTGGAGGCATCATGCTAGCTGACTTCAAACTATACTACAAAGCTACAGTAACAAAAACAGTGTGGTACTGATACAAAGACAGACACATAGACCAATGGAACTTTATTCTCCATTCTAAGAATAAAGAACTTAGAAATAAGACCCCAAATGAAGAACCATCTGATCTTCAACAAACCAGACAAAAAAAGAAATGGGAAAAGGATTCCCTACTTAATAAATGCTGCTGGGAGAATGGCTAGTCATATGCAGAAAACTGAAACTGGACCCCTTCCTTACACCTTATACAAAAATTAACTCAAGGTGGATTAAAGACTTAAATGTAAAACCCAAAACTAGAAAAACTTAGAAGAAAATCTAGGCAATACTATTCAGGACATAGGCACAGGCAAAGATTTCATGACAAAAATATTGAAAGCACTTGCAACAAAAGCAAAAATTCACAAATGGGATCTACTTAAAGAGTTTCTGCACAGAAAAAGAAACCATCATATTATCAGAGTGAACAAACAACCTACAGAATGGGAGAAAATATTTGCAACCTCCCCATTTCATAAATGTCTAATACTCGGAATCTGCCTTAATTTCAGAATTAAGTTCCTGTGTCCAAGAACTTATCCATTTCTTCTAGATTTTCTAGTTTATTTGCATAGAGGTGTTTATAGTATTCTCTGATGGTAGTTTGTATTCTGTGGGATCAGTGGTGATATCCCTTTTATCATTTTTTATTGTGTCTATTTGATTCTTCTCTCTTTCCTTTCTTATTAGTCTGGCTAGCAGTCTATATATTTAAAAAAAAAAAAAAAAACAGCTCCTGGATTCATTGATTTTTTTGAAGGGCCTTTCATGTCTCTATATCTCCTTCAGTTCTGCTCTGATCTTAGTTATTTCTTTTCTTCTGCTAGCTTTTGCATTTGTTTTCTCTTGCTTCTCTAGTTATTTTAATTGTGATGTTAGGGTGTCGATTTTAGATCTTTCCTGCTTTCTCCCATGGGCATTTAATGCTATAAATTTCCCTCTAAACACTGCTTTAGCTGTGTCCCAGAGATTCAGGTACTTTGTGTCTTTGTTCTTATTGGTTTTAAATAACTTATTTATTTCTGCCTTAAGTTTATTATCTATCCAGTAGTCCAGGAGTAGATTGTTCCATTTCCATGTAGTTGTGTGGTTTTGAGTGAATTTCTTAATCCTGAGTTCTAATTTGATTGCACTGTGGTATAAGAGACTGTTTGTTATGATTTCCACTGTTTTGTATTTGCTGAGGAGTGTTTTACTTTCAGTTATGTGGTCAATTTTAGAATAAGTGTGACATAGTGCTGAGAAGAATGTATATTCTATTGATTTAGGGTGGAGAGTTCTGTAGATGTCTATTAAGTCCACTTGGTCCAGAATTGAGTTCAAGTCCTGAATATCCTTTTTAATTTTCTGTCTCCTTTATCTGTCTAATATTGACAGTGGGGTGTTAAAGTCTCCCACTGTTATTGTGTGGGAGTCTAAGTCTCTTTGTAGGTCTCTAAGAACTTGCTTTATGAATCTGGGCACTCCTGTATTGGGTGCATATATATTTAGGACAGTTAGCTCTTCTTGTTGCATTGATCCCTTTACCATTATGTAAAGGCCTTCTTTGTCTTTTATAATCTTTGTTGGTTTAAAGTCTGTTTAATCAGAGACTAGGATTGCAACCTCTGCTTTTTAAATTTAATTTAATTAATTAATTTATTTATTTATTTATTGCTTTCCGTTTGCTTGGTAAATCTTTCTCCATCCCTTTATTTCAAGCCTATGTGTGTCTTTGCATGTGAGATGGGTCTCCTGAATACAGCACACTAACAGGTCTTGACTCTTTTTTTTTTTTTTTTTTTCTTGAGATGGAGTCTCACTCTGCTGCCCAGGCTGGAGTGCAGTGGCATGATCTCGGCTCACTGCATGCTCTGCCTCCCGGCTTCATGCCATTCTTCTGCCTCAGCCTTCTGAGTAGCTGGGACTACAGGCGCCCGCCACCACGCCTGGCTAATTTTTTGTATTTTTAGTAGAGACGGGGTTTCACCATGTTTCACAAAACACAGAATATACATTTTTCTCACCACCACATGGCACATACTCTAAAATTAACCAAACATTCTGACATGGAACAATCCTCAGAAAATGCAAAAGAACCAAAGTCACACCAACCACTCTCTCAAACCATGGTGTAATCAAATTGGCAATTAACATTAAGAAAATAGCTCAAAACTGTACAATTACATGGAAATTACGCAAACTGCTCCTGAATGACTTTTGGATAATTAATGAAATTAAGACAGAAATCAAGAAGTTATTTGAAGCTAATGAGAACAAGGTATAGATAACAGATTCTCTGGGACACTGCTATGGCAGTTTTAAGGGGGAAATTTATAGCACTGAGCGCCCACATCAAAATTTAAAAAAATATATCAAATTAACCACCTAACATCCCAACTAAAAGAAGTAGAGAAGCAAGAGCAAACTAACCCCAAATCTAACAGAAGACAAGCAATAACCAAAATTAGAGCTCAACTGGAGGAGACTGAGACACAAAATACATTCAAAGATCAACAAATCCAGGATTTGGCTTTTTGAAAAAATTAATAAGATAGATAGACTGCTAGCTCTACTGAGAAAGGAGAAGAGAGAGAGGATCCCAATAAACACAATTAGAAATGACAAAGGGAATATTACCACTGACCTCACAGAGACACACATAAATATCAGAAACTGCTATGAACACCTCTATTCACACAAAGTAGAAAATCTAGAAGAAATGGATATATTCCTTGAAATATACATCCTTCCAAGACTGAACCAGAAAGAAATTGATTCTCTGAACAGACCAAGAAGAAGCTCTAAAATTGAATCAGTAATAAATAGCCTACCAACCAAAAAAAAAAAAAAAAAAGCCCAGGACCAGATAGATTCACAGCTGAATTCTACCAGACATAGAAAGAAAAGCTAGTATTATTCCTACTGAAACTATTCCAAAAAAACTGAGAAGGAGAGACTCCTCTCCAATTTCTTCTACGAGGCCAGCATCATCCTGATACCAAAATCTGGCAGAAACACAACAACAAAAGAAAAATTCAGGCCAATATCCTTGATGAACATTGACATGAAAATCTTTAACAAAATACTAGCAAAGGGAATTCAGCAGCAAATTAAAAAGCTAATCCACCATAATCAAGTAGGCTTTATCCTTGGAATGCAAGGCTCATTCAATATACACAAATCAGTAAATGTGACTCATCACATAAACAGAACTGAAGACAAAGACCACATGTTCAGGCCAGCCATGGTGGTTCATGCCTGTAATCTGTAATCCCAGTACTTTGGGAGGCCAAGGTGGGCATATAGCTTGAGCTCAGGAATTAGAGACCACCCTGCGCAACATGACAAATCTCTGTCTCTGCAAAAAATGCAAAAATTAGCTGGGTGTGGTGGTGTGAGCCTGTCATCCCAGCTACTCCAGAGGCTGAGGTGGGAGGATCACTTGAGCCCAGGAGGTTGAGGCTACAGTGATCTGAGACTGTGCCATAGCACTCCGGCCTGGGTGACAGAGTAAGACCCTGTCTCGAAAAAGCCCACCAAAACCCATAAAACAAAATGCACAAAACTTAAAATAAGAGCAACAAAAAGATCATCTCAGTAGATGCAGAAAAAGCTTTCGGTAAAATTTAACATCCCTTCATGTTAAAAAGGGAACCAAGTATTCTAACTCATTCTAGTGATCTTCCCAGCTGACTCAGCATTATGTTTAAATATTTTGTAGTATTTTATCTTCTGGGAATCCAGGGACATTTCAAACACTCAGCTGATGTGCAATTTCAATGTTAACCTTGAGGACTAAAAAATGGGATAAGAAAGCAAATTGATTCAATCAAAAGAGGTTATTTTTGTGCAGGAAAATGGTTAACAGAGAGAGGTCATTGCTGCTATGGATTTGACTTTGGTTGTCTTCACTTTGATCCATGTCTGTCTATATCAGCCCTCTCTGCAATTTATTTTCTATATAGGTAGATTATGTACTACCTTTTCTTGCCATTCCTGAAAAAAAATCCTATAGGAGTTGAAGAATATTTCCACTAGTGCTTTGGATTCTAATATCTCATGCCACTGGTTTCCACTAATCGTGATCCAGACCCAGTGCTACATTTCTCAAGTAATACAAGAGGGGTTCAGAGAACCCATAGACTAGAAGAAAATGGCTACAAAGTGACATAAAGCTATGGTAACATTAAGGTTTGCCTATGGAGTTAATTCAGGAAAGATGAAATGAAGGTCAGTATTCTTACACTTATCATAAAGAAATAAGCTAAACAGAATATTTTTAAAGCCACAAAACCTGGTGAAGGGCAAAGAATATTGGGCTTGACATACAATTATAAATGATTCATTTTGACTTTTTATAGTTTAATCCTGTATAAAAGTTTATTTTAACAGATCAAACAGCCTATTTAAAATGTTGTCAATGTGTCAACATGAAAATGTGTCTCTATTTCTTCTTCATCTATAAAATGGAAAAGACAGTACGAGACCTTTCTATCTTATCTTACAAGACTGTGAAGAGAAGTAATTAAGCAAACAAAATATAAATATGCTGAGTTTTAATGCTTCAAATCAGCCGCACACTGCTATGTCGGTTAAAATGATTTTAAGAATGTGAGTTCAATGCATATATTTGTATAGGGAATATCTGAGTAATGACAATGGTAATCTCAGAGTCATTTGATTTTTGGTAATTTTAAAGTTTCTTACTTGTATTTCTATTTTTCTATAAAAAATAATTTTTTTCAAAAATAAAGGGGGTAATTAACGATTAAATTACTGCACTTGAGTTAATTTTTTATAAAAATGTTGATCATGTTTCTTATTTAAAATGATATTTGAAAATAGTTCACAAATTTAAAAATCATGAAAACATTGATTGTAACAGAATAATTATATAGCAGGTGATATATTTGGGAAAATATTTAGAATGATAACTTTATTTAAATGAACTAATTTTATACATAACCAAAGGTCACACAAGAGTAACAAGATGTTACTGAACTTCATGCTAAGCCTAAATAGTTTACATAATTGGAAAATAATTAAGTGTGATATACAGAGGCCATGAGGTATGATTTCATATATTATATTCAGCTCCTATATTGTAGGTCTTTGTTTACAACCATATTTATGTTTACATTTATGACTTTCACATTAAAATTGTATTTATAAATTTAAATACATTCTTCAGATAATAGGAATGTTTCACTCAATTTGAGTTTTAAACCCACCGCAAGCTTACTGAGAAGATCTTTACAGACCACTAGAATGTCACTATGGATCTTGATAAACAGATAACTGACAAGTTGCTAACTTTTTCTTCATTTTAGGCATGGCCTTTGCATAATGCAGGAGTAGCAACAGTAAATACAACTCAGTGAATATTGTATTTGTTTAGATTACTTAGCTAAATATATACACTTATATTTTTATTATGTATATTATATATATTGTACATATATTTTCATAGTTTATGCCGAGATATATTTCCCTTTTCTCCTGGTTACTGGTGGCCTTAGATACACTAAGTAGAAGAAAGCTGATCAAACTCTATAGAACAAAATGAAGGTCTCCAGGGGTTTACTCAAGTAAAATCTAAATTAAGAATGATGCAGGGTATTGTACTACTTCTTTATAGATACATGCAACCTAAAATAGTCATTTCAAAACTCATGACTTAGGTGGTAATTTTGATTTCATTGATGGTATATTAGATTCAGCAAGTTATGTGTCTAATTTAGAGGGTTAGATTTTTGGTTCAAGAGGTGAAGTATCAGATTTATGCAGGAGACTTAATTCAGCAGATGATATACCTTACTCAGTGCATGATGAATCTGATATAGAAGGTGATATATTTAATTCAATAGCTAATATATCAGAATCAAATGTGATTCATTTTTTCCAGTGAGTAATTAATATTACTCATAACTGATTTATCTATTTTAGCATGAAGTGTGTTCTGTAAGTTATTTATTTAGGTATACAAGATATAAATTATATTACTAATATAGATTTTCATTGCAAAGTAGTTCAGAAATTCCTGATTACCACCTTCTTGTTACTCCATTTCATACATTTTTAAATGATGTTTTCAGAGACTACCTACTTCAGAAGAATCAGAAATGCTTATTAAACTTGTAGCTTCTTTAAATCCACCACAGACCTAATAAGGAACAGGGCTAACTGAATATTTAACAAGGGCCCATGGTAATTTTTTTTTCTTCTTACCCTCTCCCTTCCATTTTAAAGATTCATGGTAATTTTTATGCACAGTGGAATTGTATGCTTTATGAAATTTGAAAACTCTGACATGTTAGAAATAGGATGCATCAAATACAGAAAAATATGATGTTCTTCTGAACACAAAAAGCAAATTTATGATACATCTTAAACTTGATGTTTCCTTTGTTGTAATTATCACAACACTTCATCTTTTGTAAATATTGCCTCTAATACAAGATGTAAAAATTGATTAGTGTCTGCCCTTAAGTAATAAAGTAAACTTGTCACCTCTCCCTGTGGCCTGAACAAAATATTGGATATACTCACAGTTTGACAAGCAAAGCTTGCATTTCAGAGCATAGAAGAAAATAGTCACTTTTTTTAACATGGATAGTTGTGGTTTCAGACAACCCTATGTGTACATTTATGGTAATCATGAGTGTTCTTCACTATTTCATACTTTTTTACTTCCAGGGTTGTGTTAGAAATACATTTTCTCAAATATTTTTAAGTTATGTAGAGCCATGTGACTTGGCTTGGGCAATGAACTATGAGCAGAACTGATGTATATCAGTGATAGGTAGAAGCTTTAACAGCCAGTATGTGTATGTTTCCCATCCTTTCCCCTTCCTAATGAAGGTATTTATTTGGATTATTTTGTCTCTTTGAACACTGTATAATGTATATGTGTGGGAGGTAGATCATTTTTCTTTATATTCCATAGGTCTTCAGATAAGGAGGAGTCATATCTGGATCTGATATCGGGAATCCTGTGCCTGACTCAGAGATCTTGGATTTTGAGCTCCACACAGTCACCAGATGAGATTTCTGTGTTGCTCTCCCTGGGCAAGAAGTGATAATATTCTGTGTGAATAAAGGGAGTGAACTGAATTTTCTGTGACCAAAAGGGCAGACTGTGGTAGTCATTATTGTTATTCACCATTTACCTTTGGCTCTCCTCATTAGGTTCAGTCACACAATGAGATTGTACTTCCCCAACCCCGCAAAGTTCATCATGGCCACTAGACTGGCTGTAACCAATGAAATGTGAGGAGACATGCTGCATTTTATCTCTTAGTGAAATCTTTGGGAGGTAGTGTGTTTTTCCATGTTCTCTTTACCTTCATCTCAATTGCTTGCAGCATCCTGAATGGTAGCTCCTCTTTTAAGCCTTGGTCTCAGGGTAGACAAAATGTAACACAGCTCCTAGCCAACCTGTGAAACACATGTACTATGAGGAAGAAATAAACCTTTATTGCTTTAAGTAAATGAGGTCTTAAGATTGCTTGGTATTGGAACAAAAATCAGTCATTCCTGATCAGCACACAGCATAAAAAAAAATCTTCTAAAAATGTTGCATAATGGTTTAATGTTTTGCTACAGATATATTTATACATAGCCCACTTTTGATCAGTTGAGTGACCTCATGATAAATATATTTGGGCATTTAATTCAATTTCTCTCTATACTGCCCATTTATTAGGTATATCACTTATTAGCATTTTCATGAAAGTTGGGAAGAAGAAATGGTGTTTGAATTAGTTACTTTCTCTATATGTTGGCAGCTTCTCTAAAATGTCTTCAGGGAAAGATTTTAAATTTTGGCTGTAGTAAAAATATAAAAGGTCTAGAAATTTCTATTACCCATGCTATTTCTTAGAAAAACAGAAGTTTACAATTAGGTTTTTTTGTGTTCTTATTAGGGAGATGTTGCTAGCCCTGGGACTGTAGTCGTATCTCCACTTTATTTACTATTATAACCTAATGAGATGTTAGCATCGTTATAAATTATTCTTTATAGTTAATTGTATGAGATTATATTAATTTCCATCAGCTACTGTTCCACTTAATAGAGGATATGCAGCTACGGGTAGCAAAAGTTACCTAAATAAAGGGCCAGGAAAGTATAGCCATAGGATAAATCTGGCCTTCTACTTATTTTTCTGCAGTGTTCAATCTAAGAATGATTGTTAAATCTTTAAGTGGTTGAAGAAAAAGCTCTTAAAGAATTTTTTGACACATTAAAATTAGATGAAATTCAAATTTTATGTCAATAAATTAATTTTATTAGAACATATCCATGCCCATTCATTTATATATTGTATCTGGTTACTTTCACACTACAATGACAGAGATGAATAATAGTTTGCAACACAGACAGGGTGGTCTATAAAACTTAAAACAGTTACTATCATCCCCTTTACAGAAAATGTTTGCCAACTCCTGCTCTAAATGATGAATGTTTTCACTGTTCGTAATCAAATAAACTGAATATTTTGTGATGACATTTTATTTTTAAAGCTAGAAATTGATTGCTGATACCTGTTTTTTGTAATAATTGGGATTTAAAATTAATCTCGTATCACCATTTAATTTTGATTCCTTAAATATAACAAACAATCAGCAACAGTGGATTTTAGAGGAATCATAATAAAATTGTCTTTGATATTACTGTATTTCCAGCACAATGTTTTAATATTAAGAAGGAAATCCTCAGAGAGCCTAGAAGTCTTTAATTTTGCTTGTGCAAATATTTGAAATTTATGTTTTCTTTTGCCTATTTTGAAATTATAATTGAATTAAATTATCTTGTACAACTCAATGTGAATATATTGCAATAATAGCATTTTTATTTTTTTAAAAGATTGAACATATTGTGTAAGGCCTTGATTTGCCTACATGCAAGAAAAAAAGTTAGTAGTAATATATTTGAAGTTAAGAACAGCAAAAATAGATAATTCTAATGCTAAATAGCCTCTATTCTGTTTGAAAATTGGTTTAAATTTCTTACTTGAAAAGTATGTGGAAAAAGCAAATGATTTAATTATTGTATATGGCATAAGACAAGGGTTCACTTTTATCTTTTTGCATGTGGATATCAAGATTTTCCAACAGCATTTATTGAAGAAAATTTCCCTTCCTCACGTGTATCCTTGACACCTTTGTGAAAGATTAGTTAAACATGCCTTTTTGGATTTAATTCTGGGCTCTCTATTCTGTTCCATTGGTCTATGTGTCTGTGTTTATACCTGTACCATACTCCTTGATTACTTTGTAATATAGTTTGAAAAAATGAAGTGTGATGCCTCCATCTGTGTTTTTCCTTCTCGAATTTGCTTTGGCTATTCAGGTTCTGTTGTGGTTCCATACAAGATTTAAAATTGTTTTTCTACTTCTGCAAAAAATAGACATTGAACTTTTGATAAGGATTGTATTGAATCTGTAGATCACTTTAAGTAGTATAGACTTTTCAACAATATTAATTCTTCTAATTCATGAATGCAGACTATCTTTCCATTTATTCATGCCTTCTTCCATTTCTTTTATCAATGCTTTATAGTTTTCAATGTACAGATCTTTCACCTCTTTAGCGATGCTGTTATAAATGGGATTTTTTTTTGGTTTTTAATTTCAGACAGTTTCTTTTTAGTGTATAGACACATAACAAATATTTGTGTGTTAGTTTTGTATTTTTCACCTTTACTGAATTCACTTATTAATTCTGACAGTTCTGTGGTGGAGTATGTAGGGTTTTTTATATAGAACATCATTCATCTGCAAACAGAAGTTAATTACTTATTTTCCCAATTGGGTGATTTTTTTACACCATATACAAAATTTAACTAGAAATTGATTAAAGGCTTAAATGTAATGTCAGTAACTGTAAAACTCCTAGAAGAAAGCATAGAGAAAAAGTTCCTTGACATTTTTCTCAGCAATGGATTTCTTTAAAATGACACCAGAAGCACAGGAAGCAAAAGCAAAAATAAGCAAGTAGTCCTACAATAAACTAAAAAGCTTCTACACAGCAAAGGAAACAGTCAGCAAAATGAAAAGGAAACCTACAGAATGAGAGAAAACTTTTGCAAATCGTATATCTGATAAGCATTTAATATCCAAAGTACATAAATAACTCAAGTAACTCAATAGCAAAAAAAACAAAAAAATCAAATAACCTTATTGAGAAGACATACAAATGACAACAGGTAAATGAAAATGTGTCCACTATCACTAATTATCAGGGAAATTCAAATAAAAACCACAGAGATATCACAACATTCCTGTTAGAATGACTATTATCAAAAAGACAAGAGATGATGTGTTGATGAGGGTGTGAAAAAAGGGAACACTTGTACACTGTAGGTGGGAATGTAAATTAGTACAGTCATTGAAAACAGTGTGGAAGTTTCTCAAAAATGAGAAATAAAGCTACCATTCTATACAGCAATCCCACTTATTGGTATGTACCCAAAGGAAATGCATTCATTGCGGCACTATTTGCAATAACGAAGATACAGAAACAACCTGTTTCCATCAACAAATAAATGAATAAATAAATCAGGGTATATATATGTGTGTGTGTGTGTATATATATATATAAAATATATATACACATATGTATATGTGTATATATGTAATATATACATATGTATATGTGTATATGTAATATATACATATATGTATATGTGTGTATATATTACATATGTGTATGTGTATATATGTTACATATGTGTATATATGTATATAAATGTCTGTATATATATATACAAACATATTTACATGTATATATACACACAATAAAATAATATTCAGTGATAAAATAAAGGAAATCCTGCCATTTGCAGCAACATGGATAGAACTAGGGGTGATTCTATTAAGTGGAAGTGAAATAAGCCAAGCACAGAAAGCAAATATTTCATGTTATCACTCATGTGGGATCTAAAAACCTGTATCTCATGAAGATAAAGTAGATTGGTGGTTACTAGAGGTTGGAAGGGAAAAGGTGAGGGATGAATGAAGGGAAACAGAAGAACATAAATGTATTTATCACCACTGAACTTTACACTTAAAATTGGTAAACATTGCAAATTATCTGTATATATATGTACCTCAACAAACAATAAATTTTAAAAAATTATAAAAGGAAATGCAAATCAAAACCACAGTATCACCTCACACATACTATTATATCCATTATCCATTATCCATTATCAAAAAGACAAGAGATACATGTTGGTAAGGGTGTAGAGGAAGATAACCCTTGTATACTGTTGGTGGGAATGTAAATTGATACAATCATGGAAAACAGTATGGATATTTCTCAAAAAATTAGAAATAGAACTACCATATAATATAGCAATTTCACTTCTGGGTATATACCCAAAGGAAAACCAGTCAGTATCTCAAAGAGATTTCTGCACCCTCATGTTCATTGCAGAATTGTTTGCAACAGCCAACATGTGGAAACAGCCTAAGTATCCACCGCCTAATGAATCAATGGAGAAATCACGGTACATATACATAATGGAATATTATTCAACCATGGAAACGAAGGAAATCCTGCCATTTGCAAAAACATGGATGAACCTTGAAGACATTATTCTAAGTGAAATTAACCAGACACAGAAAGGCAAATACTATATCATCTCATTTAAATGTGGAATCTAAAAAAATATAACTTACAGAAGCAGAAAGAATGGTGAATGCCAGGGCCTGGAGATTAAGGGGAAATGGTGAGATGTTGGTCCAAGGGTACAGACTTTCGGTTATAAGATGAACAAGTTCTGAGGGTCTAAGGTACAGCATGATAGATGTGTTAATTAATTTGAGTGTGGTAATCATACAAAGCATTTGTATCAAATTATCATGTTGCTTACCTTGAACAAATACAATCTTTATTCATCCATTAAATATTTAAAATAAAAAGGCAAGGAACCACTAAACAAGAAAGTAATCACTAAAAACAGTGAAATATTTGCTAGGGTAAAATTATTTTTCAGTTACTTTTCCTCTAGATCATCCATTTAAATGATAGATTCAAGGAGAAATAAGTAAGCATTTACAACAAACAATATTCCAAGTTTTATGCTTCTAAACATGAAATTAAACTTTATACTAGTGTCTCTGTTCTTAATTAAGAGGCTAAACATTTTATTAATCAAAAGCAGCATGCTTCATTAGGAGAAACATTCAGTTCAACTTAAACAAGTGTTTGAGCCTTATGTTACTTTAGGGAGACATATCTTTCAGTTAGTTTACTTGTATAAGGAGAATATCCATACCTGTTTTACCCATCTCAAAGGTGAGAAGAGAAATAACATTTATTAAGCAGCTACTAAATGCCAGGCATTTTTCTATGGATTTTATAAACATTATGTCATCTAATCTTCAAAAGAGACATGCAAAATAGAAAGTATTCTTATTTTGCTTATAGCAAAATACAGTACAGAAAAGGCAGATAACAGTACAATTGAGTTAGAAGAAAAAAGTCTTGGTGCCAGGCAAATCTTACTCTGAGTCATATCTATGCCATATGCTTGCTTTGTGACTTAGAGAAATTTGACTTAAATTTTGTTATCCTCTTTCTTTATCTATAAAAACAAGGTAAACCTACCTATAATAGAGCATGTTTGGTTACAGGTACCAAACTAGTTTAAATTGAAAAGACATTATCATAGGAATCTATAAGGAATTTTCACAACCCAATTTCTTTGAATACCTCTCCCAGCTCCCCTCACCACTACTCTGCCTTCCAACTGCCACATATTGTGTTTTTACTGATTCCCTCTCTGCAGCTATTGCTTTTCCTGCTACTCTATACTGAATTGACTTCTGTGGATGCATATAGCTAAAATAACTGACAGTTCAGCCTTCATAAGCTTGCACCTCCAGTATTTACCAAAATTTTTAAAAATTTTGACTTTTATTTCAATTAATGACAGAGATAATCTGATTGGCTTATTTTGAGTTAAGAATCCGTTACTTGTTCAATCAGTGGTAACTAGGGACCAGGGTCACCTCATACAAAGGACCCTACGTAAATCTGTCCCTTTATTGGAAGTTGTGGGAAACCATTTCCAGATAATAAAGATAAATGCTTGATTAGCACATCAAATATATCTGTTAACCATATCCTTTGGCCCACTGTAAGTATTCAAAGTAATATAACATGTCTCACATAGAAAATGTTTAATAGATTTTAACTATTGTTGTTACTTTAGTATCAATACAGGAGGCCCATTTAAATAGCTTATATTGAGGACCTGCCATGTATCAAATGCATTATTGACATTGTCTTATTTAATCCAGTACCTTCCACATTGCCTGGCAGATTAAAAATTTAATAAATAGTTGTTGGATTATGCAAGTTATCAAAACAAGTATTGAAGTGTAAACTTTATTACCCAAAAATTATAGAAGACATAATGAGAGCTTATAATCAAATGATGTTGAATGTGTATTTTGCAGCTCTTGGATGAAATATTCTATAAATATCTATTAGATTCACTTGGTCTATAGTATGAATTAAGTCTGATGTTTCTTGATTTTCTCTCTGGAAGATCTGTCAAATACTGAAAGTTGATTGTTGAAATCTCCATCTATTATTGTATCGAGGTCTGTCTTTCCCCTTAGCTCTAATAACATTTACTTTACATATCTGGGTGTTCCATGGTTGGGTGTATATAAACTTAAAATTTGTATATTCTCTTGCTGAATTTAGTCCCTTATTATCATATAGTGACCATTTTTGTCCCTTCTTATAGTTTTTGTTTTGAAATCTATTTTGTCTGATATAAGTGCTATGAGTCCTGCTCGTTTCTGGTTTCCAATGGTATAGAATAATTTTTCTATCCCTTTATTTTCAGTCTATGTGTCTTTATAGGTGAACTGTGTTTATTGTAGGCAACAGATAAATACTTCCTGATTTTCATCCATTCAGCCAGCTGATGGCTTTTGATTGGAGAGTTGTACCCATTTACATTCAATGTTATTATTGACGAATGAGCACTTACTCTTGCCATTTTGTTATTTGTTTTCTGGTTCTTTTATGGTCTTCACTTTCTTCTTTCTTTCCTTTCTGTCTTCCTCTAGTGTAGGTAATTTTCTCTGGTAATTTGATTTAGTTTCTTGCTTTTTATTTTTTGTATCCATTTTTATTTTTTGCTTTGAGATTACCACGAGTGTTGCAAATGTTATTTTATAACTCCGGTATTTTAAACTGATAACAACTTAGCACTATTTGCAAAAGCAAACAATTTAACAAGCAAAAGAAAAACTAATAATAACTCTATGCCTTAACTTCATCCCCCACCCCCCGCTTTTTAACGTTTTGTTGTTTCTATTTATATCCTATTGTACTATGTCTTGAAATATTTTTTAGTTATTATTTTTTTCATTGTTTACTCTTTCTGCTTAGGATAAGAGTAGTTTACATACCACAGTTACAGTTTTATAACATTCTATGTTTTTTTGTGTACTTACTATGACCAGTAATTTTTTGTACCATCAGGTAATTATTTATTGCTCATTAATGTCCTTGTATTTCTGATTGAAATATTCTCTTTAGCATTTCTTGTAGAACAGGTGTGGTATTGATGAAATCCCTCAGCTTTTGTTTGTCTGGGAAATGCTTTATTTCTCCTTCACGTTTGAAGAATAATTACACCAGATATACTACTCTAGAGTAAAAGTTTCTTTTTGTTTTTTTTTTCTTTAGTACTTTAAATATGTCATGCTACTGTCTTCTGGCCTGTAAGGTTTCCACTGAAATGTCTGCTGACAGTCATATTGGAGCTCCATTATATGGTACTTCTTTTTTTCTCCTGCTGCTTTTAGGATAATTTCTTTATCTTTGATGTTTGGGAGTTTGTTTATTTATTTTATGTATTTATTTTTATTTTACTTTAAGTTCTGGGAAACATCATCCTGATACCAAAACCTGGCAGAGACACAACAAAAAAAGAAAATTCAGGCCAATATCCCTAATGAACATCAATGTGTAAATTCTCAATAAAATACTGGAAAACCAAATCCAGAAGCAAATCAAAAAGCTTATCCACCATAATCAAGTTGACTTCATCCCTGGGGTGCAAGCTTGGTTCAACATATGCAAATCAATAAACATAATCCATCACATGAACAGAACCAATGATAAAAAACACGTGATTATCTCAATAGATGCAGAAAAGGCCTTCGATAAAATTCAACATCCTTTCATGCTACAAACTCTCAATAAACTAGGTATTGATGGAACATATCTTAAAATAATAAGAGCTATTTATGAAAAACCCATAGCCAATATCATACTGAATGGGCAAAAGCTGGAAGCATTCCCTTTGAAAGCTGGCACAAGACAAGAATGCCCCCTCTCACCACTCCTATTCAACATAATATTGAAAGTTCTGGCTAGGGCAATCAGGCAAGAGAAAAAATTAAGAGTATTCAAATAGGAAGAAAGGAAGTCAAATTGTCTCTGTTTGCAGATGACATGATTGTATATTTAGAAAACCCCATCATCTCAGCCCAAAAATCCCTTAAGCTGATAAGCGACTTCAGCAAAGTCTCAGGATACAAAATCAATGTGCAAAGATCATAAGCATTCCTATACACTAATAATACGTAAGCAAAGAGCCAAATCATGAGTGAACTCCCATTCACAATTGCTACAAAGGAGTAAAATACCCATGAATACAACTTACAAGGGATGTGAAGGACCTCTTCAAGGAGAACTACAAAACCACTCTTCAAGGAAATAAGAGAAGACACAAAAAAATGGAAAAACATCCATACTCATGGATAGGGAGAATCAATATCATGAAAATGGACACACTGCCCAAAGTAATTTATAGATTCAATGCAATTCCCATCAAGCTACCGTTGACTTTCTTTGCAGAACTAGAAATAACTACTTTAAATTTCATACGGAGTCAAAAAAGAGCCCATATAGCCAAGACAATCCTAAGCAAAAAGAACAAAACTGGAGGCCTCAAGCTACATGACTTCAAACAACACAGCAAGGCTACAGTAACCAAAACAGCATGGTACTGGTACCAAAACAGATATATAGACCAATGGAATAGAACAGAGGCCTCAGAAATAACACCACACATCTACAACCATCTGATCTTTGATAAACTTGACAAAAATAAGCAATGGGGAAAGGATTCCCTGTTTAATAAATGGTGTTGGGAAAACTGGC
The DNA here is from genome assembly GCF_000001405.40 of Homo sapiens. Lineage (NCBI taxonomy): Eukaryota > Metazoa > Chordata > Mammalia > Primates > Hominidae > Homo > Homo sapiens. Next base: position 6,032,553 of record NC_000024.10, read on the forward strand.
TAGCCATATGCAGAAAACAGAAACTGGACCCCTTCCTTACACCTTATACAAAAATTAACTCAAGATTTGAGTTTGTTTATCAAATGCCTTAATGCAGTCCTTTTTGTGTTAAATCTGCTAGGTGTTCTATAATGTTTTTCTACTTGGATATGGATATCTTTCTCCAGGTTTGGGAAATTCTCTGTTATCATCTTTTTGAACAAACTTTCTTCCCCCATCACTTTCTCTACTTCCTCTGTAAGGCCAATAGCTCTTAAGTTTGCAGTTTTAAGGCTGCTTTCCAGATCCTGTAGCCATGCTTCGTTTTTTTTTCTTTTATCTCCACTTACTGTGTGTTTTCAAACAGCCTGTCTTTAGGCCCAGTAATTCTTTCTTCTGCTTGATCAATTCTGATATTAAAGGATGCCGAAGAATTCTTCAGTATGCCAATTTCATTTTTCAGCTCTAGAATTTCCGCTTGATTATTTTTGATTGTTTTATCTTTTTGTTAAATGTGTCTTATAGGATTCTGAATTCCTTCTTTGTTCATTTGGTGAGATCATGTTTTCCTGGATGGTGATAATGCTGATAGATGTTCTTCAATATCTGGGCATTGAAGAGATATGTATTTATTGTAGTCTTCACTACTAGACATGTTTGTACTCCTCCTTCTTGGGAGGGATTTTCAGATGTTTAAAAGGACTTGGATGTTGTGATCTAAGCTTTATCTGCTTTTGGGGGCGCACCAAGCACACTAATGCTGTGGTTCTGGATGGTCTTAGACAATATCCAAGAGAATTCTCTGGATTACCACTAAGAAACTTCTATTCTCTTCCCTTACTTTCTCCCAAACATATAGTCTTTCTCTGTTCTGAACCTCCTAAAGCTGAGGGTGAACTTACTCATGTACGCTTGTGCCCATCAACACTATGACTGTACTGGGTCAGACCTGAAACCAGCACAGCACGGAGTCTCTCCCAAGGCCTGTGGTAACCACTCCCTAGTTACTGCATATGTTTCCTCAAGGCCCTGGGGCTCTATAATCAGTAGGTGACAAAGTCAGCCAGGCCTGTGTCCCTCCCTTCTGGGAAGTGAGGTCCCCCAGGCCCCAGGTGAATCCAAAAGCACCATCCTGGCATCAGGGGCTAGAGTAAAAAATGTTAGGAGTCTACCTGGTATTCTATTGTATCTCAGCTGAGCTAGCACTCAAACCATACGATGTAGTTCTTCCATACTTTTCTCCCCTTTCCAAAGGCACAGGAACCTCACCCTGAAGCCATCTCCACCTCAGGCCATGTGGAGTACTCTCAGACTACCCTGGATATTCTCTTAAGGTCCAAGGTCTCTTAAGTCAGCTTGTGGTGAATTTTGCCTGACCTGGGACTCCCCTACGTGGTCGTAGGCTCCCCTCTCGCGCAGGGCATGTCCAGAAATGCCATCCAAGTGTCACATCTTAGAATCAGAGATCCCAAGGGCCTGCTTATTCCTCTACCCTCTGTGGTTGTGATGGTACCTAAAGTGCAAGACAAAGTCCCCTTTACTTTTTCCTCTGCTTTTCTCAAATAGAAAGAGTTTGGGCCCATAACCACCAAAACTGGCAATGTGCTGAGTCTCACCTGAAGCCAGCAAGTCTTGGAGGCTCATCCAAGGACCTTGGTGTAATACCAAGGTAAAACTTGTGGTTATTCAGAGTCCAAGGGCTCTTCAGTTAACAGATGAATGCTGCTAGGAATGAGTCATTTCCTTCAAGGCAGTGGGTTTCCTTCTGGCCCAGGATGTGTCTAGAAATGGCATCTGGGAACTAGGGCCTATAACAGGGGTCTCATGACTCTGACCAGTGCCTTGTCCTGTAATGGCTAGTTGGTATCCAAGATGCAAGACAAAATTCTCCCCATTCTCCCCTCTTCTCTCTTCAAGTATAAAGAATGAGTATCTTTTGGAGCTGTTAGATGTGCAGCCTGGGGTTAGGGGAGGGGTGATGTCAGCACTCCTTGGGCTGCCCCAACTTGTGTCTCAGTAGGTCATGTTTATCCCCAGTTTACTGTCTCTGGGCCTAGTTCAGCACTAGGACTCACCTAAGAATTGCAGTCCTGAATGGTATTGCCTAGGTTTTCTTCTAGGGTTTTTACGGTTTTAGGTCTAACATTTAAGCCTCTGATCTATCTTGAATTAATTTTTGTATAAGGTGTAAGGAAGGGATCCAGTTTGAGCTTTCTACATATGACTAGCCAGTTTTCCCAGCACCATTTATTAAATAGGGACTCCTTTCCCCACTTCTTGTTTTTGTCAGGTTTGTCAAAGATCAGATGGTTGTAGATGTGTGGTATTATTTCTGAGGGCTCTGTTCTGGGCATGGGCAAGGACTTCATGTCTAGAACACCAAAAGCAATGGCAACAAAAGCCAAAATAGACAAATGGGATCTAATTAAACTAAAGAGCTTCTGCAAAGCAAAAGAAATGCTCATCACAGTGAACAGGCAACCTACAGAATGGAAGAAAATTTTTGCAATCTACTCACTGACGAAGGGCTAATATTCAGAATCTACAAAGAACTCAAACAAATTTACAAGAAAAAAACTAACAACCCCATCAAAAAGTGGGCAAAGGATATGAACAGACACTTCTCAAAAGAGGACATTTATGCAGCCAAAAGACACATGAAAAAATGCTCATCATCACTGGCCATCAAGAGAAATGCAAATCAAAACCACGATGAGATACCATCTCACACCAGTTAGAATGGCTATCATTAAAAAGTCAGGAAACAACAGGTGCTGGAGAGGATGTGGAGAAATAGGAACATTTTTACACTGTTGGTGGGACTGTAAACTAGTTCAACCATTGTGGAAGATAGTGTGGCGATTCCTCAAGGATCTAGAACTAGAAATACCATTTGACCCAGCCATCCCATTACTGGGTATATATCCAAAGGACTATAAAACATGCTGCTATAAAGACACATGCACACATATGTTTATTGCGGCACTATTCACAATAGCAAAGACTTGGAACCAACCCAAATGTCCAACAATGATAGACTGGATTAAGAAAATGTGGCACATATACACCATGGAATACTATGCAGTCATAAAAAAGGTTGAGTTCATGTCCTTCGTAGGGACATGGATGAAGCTGGAAACCATCATTCTCAGCAAACTATTGCAAGGACAAAAAACCAAACACCGCATGTTCTCACTCATAGGTGGGAATTGAACAATGAGAACACTTGGACACAGGAAGGGGAACATCACACACTGGGGACTGTCGTGGGGTTGGGGGAGGGGAGAGGGATAGCATTAGGAGATATACCTAATGTAAATGACAAGTTAATGGGTGCAGCACACCAACATGGCACATGTATACATATGTAACAAACCTGCACATTGTGCACATGTACCCTAGAACTTAAAGTATAATTTAAAAAAAGAAAAAAGAAAGAAAAGAAAATCCTGAGGAATCAAAAAAAAAAAAAAAAAAAAAAAAAAAGAATTGCAGTGCTTATTTTTTTGCAGTCCAAAAAAGAATTGCCTAGACTACCTTACCTTTCAAGTTTACTTGGAGTGTTGTGGTCCTTGGTGGCAAGGTTTGAAGGCACACAAGTTCAGACCTCAGCTATCAGCAATTCCCCTGTGGCTAAGGCTGGTTGAAATTCTCCCTTGGTAGCCAGGCATCATCTGAGTTTGGTCTGATTTTCCTTTCTGTTCTAATAGGACAGCACTGAGTTCCATGCCTCACGATTGTGTTCTCTCTCCCCCAGTGCCCAGAGATGCTCTCCATACCATGCTGAAGCTGCAGGGGGTGGGGGTGGTTCCAGCCACTCAGGACTGTTTTTTTCTATCTCTTCAGTGCCTCTTTCTGCTATATGAAGTTAAAACCAGTTACTGTAAGTGCTCATCTGACATTTGGTTCTTGTGAAGGTGATTTTTCTGTGTAGATATTTGTTAAATAGTTTTCTTTGCAGAGGGGGACAATCGGTGAAGCTTTCCTTTCAACCATCTTGCTCAGCCTCTAATTTTATGAATCTTACTATTTCACAACAATCATTATCATGACTCAGGTCAACCTGTTTTATGACATTTGTCATTTGCACTTTCTGTAACAAGTAATTTGAATACATGCAACTTTTTCTTATTAGTTGTTTACATATGTGTCTCTTCTACTAAGTCTTGCATTCCTTGAAGGAAGGAGCAATGTACTGTGCAACCTTATACTACTTGTAACTGATACAGTCATGGTGCATAGTAAATGATATATAAATACTCATTGAATGAATGATCAAGAATGGAAACTGAACCATGAAGGCTAGTTTGTGATTTACACAAACATTGGCAAAGTTCTGGCACAAATTTTATATGAAAAATTTAAACACTTAAAATCAACAGAACTTGTATCTAGAATCTGAATTGTTCTAGTCATTATCTCAGTTTTTATTTTTTAAAAATACAATTAATGTACAAATATAATTTTAGCTGTGGACAGTGAAGTTTAATTGGTTGATGACACAATCTGGTTTTCGATAACGGTATGAAAACCATGTTCCCTCTAACTTTTCATTGTGGCTGTTTTTGCTTTGTTTTGGTGAGCAACTATTGAGTTTTTATTGTGTGCCAAGCACCATACATACATTACTTTATTAAACTATCATATGAGTATAGGAGAGTTAAATTGACTTATTTAATGCCCTACCTCTAATGAGAACAAGTGATATAGTTTCAATCTTTACCTGATCTCAGGTAAAGATCGCAAGGTTTTTTGTCCTTGCGATAGTTTGCTGAGAATGATGGTTTCCAGCTCCAAGCATATATTTACTAAACTAGACTGCATCTCATTCTCAGTCTCCTAAGAGGCTTTCCTACCTTTTCCATGAAGAAATAGTGATAACAGAGACTCACCAAAATTAATATATACAAAACCTTATTTTCCACTAGCCCTGGAGCAAAGCTGTTCATTCCATAAAGATAGATATGTCTATGAAACAGATAATGAAAGAAAACTACATTAATTAATCTCTGGTGATCAAATGGTAAGAATCTTTGCGGCCGGGCGCGGTGGCTCACGCCTGTAATCCCAGCACTTTGGGAGGCCGAGACGGGCGGATCACGAGGTCAGGAGATCGAGACCATCTTGGCTAACACGGTGAAACCCCGTTTCTACTAAAAATACAAAAAATTAGCCGGGCGTGTTGGCGGGTGCCTGTAGTACCAGCTACTTGGGAGGCTGAGACAGGAGAATGGCATGAACCTGAGAGGCGGAGCTTGCAGTGAGCCGAGATCGCGCCACTGCACTCCAACCTGGGAGACCCAGCGAGACTCCGTCTCAAAAAAAAAAAAAAAAAAAAAAAAAAAGAATCTTTGCAGGGTGCAAAAAAGAACAAATATAAGAGCAACTAAAAATGTTATGTGTGTTATGATGGAATAGTCTTGTCAGTGAACTTTGTAAGTGATGCAGTTAAATGATGCAATTTGAGGGTCAGGAAGAAGACTAATGCTTACAGGGAGGCTAACACTTGAAATTTTGTAATTTGCCTGTAAGCAATGAATGTTGATTTTTATTAACATGCAGATACACTTGGGTTGGAAATACATCAAGTAGTTATGAATAAATTTATCTTCGTATGATGTAATTAATTGAGCATGTATTTGTTAGGGTTAGAAAAATAGATCAAAAGAGATTCTGGGTAATAATGACACTGAGTAAAACATATGCAATATTAGGGGAAAATAGGTTCTTAAACTTAAGAAAGCACATAGAAGTCAAATTCAGCAGAAAAATGTCTCGCAAAGCCTGAGAGGTCCAGAAATACTAGGTTTAGATTTTTTTACCCTTTTGTTGGAACCTCGATATGAGATTAGGGTTATCTACCCTGGTACAGTTAGAATCTTGCTTTTCGCCTATATTGTGAATTAATGATATTCTGCCCTAGAGGGAAAAAATAGTTCCTTATTTGGGGTTATTTGCAGAAGTGTGAAAGAACAGTTTTGAAACAAATTCCTTATTTGGACCTTCTTTGTTTTCTTCTCAGGTTGTAACTTCAGGTCATGATTCCTTGCTTGATTTGGACCCCAGTGAAATGGCTATAGCCTGAAGGAAATCTTCCAGGTAGATAGACAGAGGGAGCAAGAAAAACTGCATTCTCTGCAGTTTTACCTCTGTGTGCAATCATGAAAGAAAAGCACAGATTGAATAGATCAGCCCGGTCTGTGTGAACCAGGTTCAGGTATGAGGATCAAAGAAAGGAAAGGTGTCTGTGGCTTGAGAATATGGTCACAGGGAGAAACATGCAAGCACACACACACACACGCACACACACACACACACACGACACTACTGCTATAAATGGAAGGATGATCTTTGTGGGAAAATGTGTAAAAAACCAACCTGGCTAGGTACAGAAGTATGTGTAGGCTTTAAAATCAGACACACTAATTTTCAGACTTGGCTCTGGAACAGTTAGCTATTTGAGTTAGAACATGCCACATAATCACTTAGCTTTAGTTTCCTTGTCTAAAAATAGCTGTTATCTTAGTACCTTTTCAGAGGACTTTTCTAGAAATTAATGATGTAGTATATATAAAATATTCAGCACAGTGTCTACTATAGAATAAAACTCAATAAATGGTATCAATGATTATGATGATAAGCATGTCAATGATGATGATAACAGTAATAATGATAATGATACTGTAATTATTTTTAGCATAAGCTTTAGGCAATAAATTGTGATAAATACTGTATATCATTTTATAATGCATAAAACTTTAATATTAATTAAAACATGCCATATCACACTCACCAATCACCTACTTACTGATTTTTGAAGGACTCTTCATATCATTTTGATAAATAAGACTCATGTTACATATTTTTCCTTAGGTATAGAAATATTACTTCTACCTGTTTTTTCTTTCTAATTGGATAATTCAGAGAACAAACATTTTAAATTAGTAAGGATATGGAATATTGGAGCAACAAAATTAATAAGCTTGATCTAATACATGTGCATGCACACACACACGCACATACACACACATGGTCAACCCTCCTTATCTGTGGGTTTCAAATTAATAGATACAACCAACTGTGGCTGAAAAAGCATTGGGAAAAAAATAGATGATTGCATCTGTACTAATTCCTGTCATTATTCTTTAAATAATACACTAAAACAACTATTTACATAGTATTTATATTGTATTAGGTATTATAAGTAATCTAGAAATGATTCAAAACATATGGAAGTATGTGCATAGATTATATGCAAGTATTTCATCATTTTATATGGAATTTGAGCACCTGTGGATATTTGTATCTGTGGAGCATATCTGTGGGGATGGGTTATAGAATCAATCTCTGATGGATATCAGAGGATGACTGTGTACAGAGAGAAAGTGAAAGAGAGAGTCATCAGTAACAAATAATGGAGAAACTAGAAACCTATTAATGTTTTTCATATGCCCTTCATCTGAATATAGCTACAATGTGTTGACAGCTTCAAGTAAACATACAGAAGAGCTGTATATACAATTCAAGATCAGTGGTTGGATCTTCCTACTAGACCAGTCTGTTGAAAGAAGTTGGTAATTAATGGAGTTTGCACAGGTATGAGAAATCTATAGTAACACCCACAAGCCTAATCTAAATTTAATTGTGGTGAACGAATAATTATTAAACACCTGCATACCCAAACCTTATACCTGAATAAAAAGACAAGTGTTTTCCACAAATATAGGAAAAGTACAAGAGAAAGGATCTTGTGAAAGAGTGTCATAGAAAGAGAAATAATATATGACCTCCTCCCTCAAAGTTATTTATAATCAAATAGCAGAGGAAAGTATTTATATATAACTATAAGACAAGCTAAATAGGTATCCTTAAAAAGGTATAGTCACAGGAAAATGTTATATCTGAAGTGGTTCATTCTAAAAGTATGCTGAATTCTTAGCGGTAGGTAATAGGACAAGCTAGTTATAGATGAGCCAAAGGCAATATAACTGTTCTTTTGACTCTTGAGAGTGAAAAGCCAAAAGTATGATTTCTAGTTTCCAAAAAGGCATAGTGAACTGGACTAAAAGAAACATCAATTTCCTGTTTGTCAGTTATGGAATGAAAAATCAGAGTGGAAATTTCACTTTTTAAAGGATGTGATAGATTATCACAATCAGCCACAATATTATGTAGCTCCTCCCATTAAGAAGTTAAATCTATATTTGTACCCTTTGAATTTCACCTTGGTCATGTGAATTGTTTTGGCTATTTGAATATTATTAAATATAATACAAGCAGAGACTTTAAAAGTATTTGCACATTAGAGCAAGCCCTCTTTTGCTAATTGGAACTCTTCTGTACCTATTGTGAAAGAGCATAGAAAACATAGATAAATCGGACTTCATCAAAATTAAACTTTTGTGCTACAAATGATACCATCAAGTAAGGAAAAATATAGACCACGGAATGGGAAAAAGTATGGGAGAAGATATTTGCAAATCATAACTCCTAGAACTTAATAATACAAAGACAAATAATCAGATTAAAATATGGGCAAAATATTTGAATAGATGTTTCTCAAAAGAATATATACAAGAGGACAATAAGCATGTGAAAAGATGCTTAATATCAGTGGCCATTAGAAAAATGCAAATCAAAACCACAATGAGGTACCACTTCATTACAAATAGAATGGCTATAATCCAAAAGATAAGTCTTGACAAGCATGTGGAAAAATTGAAATCATCATACACTGCTGGTAGGAATGTAAAATGGTGTAGCCACTTTGAAAATAGTCTAAAGCTTCTAAAATGCTTAAACATAGGTTTATAATATGACCCAGCAATTCTATTCCAAGATATAGGCCCAAGAGAAATAAAAAGATATGTTCACACAAAAATTTGTTCATGAATGTTTATAATATTCACAGTAGCCAAAAGGTGGAAACAACTCAAATGTTTATCAATGAATGAATTATCAGTATGTTGTAAATCCATTTAACGGAATATCATTCAGCAATAAAAAGAATGAAATGTTAACAGATGCTTAAACTCAGATGGACCTTGAAAACATTATGCTAAGTGAAAGAAGCCAGTCACAAAAGACCACATATAATATGATTCTATTTATATTAAGTATCCAGAATAGGCAAGTGTGTAGAGACATAAAGTATTAATGGTTGCCTAGGACTGGGATGAATGAGGATTGGGGAGAAATACTTTAAGTGTGTCGTGGTTCTTTTTAGGATGATAATAATGTTCTAAAATTGATTGTGATAATGATTTCACAACTTTGGGAATACACTAAAAACCATTGAATTGTATAATTTCAGTGGGTAAATTGTTTGGTATGTGAATTATGTCTCAATAAAACTGCTACAAAAGAATCAAAGTGAAGGACATAAAACAATACCTGAGCAACTTGAAAAAAAGTTTTTAAAAATGAAGTACATATTATAAAAATATTAACGATGCCAAAATTAATTTACAAATTTAATGAACTTTCAGTTAGAATACAACTACTGAGAGCTAGAATTCTTAAAATTGGTTAAAAATAATTTAAAAGACTATATAATAAATGCCTGAGTATATCCAATAAAATAGTAGAAAAGGCAAATAGAACTTGCCTTAGTAGCTATAGAATGTATCAGAAAGCCACTATAATTAAAACAGTATAGTATTGCTATAAAATTATGAAATTAGGTTATTTAAAATAATAAAGATATTTGATGCATAGTGTATGCTTACAGGGTTTTGATGAGTGAAAGGTATCACCCATGAATTTTATACTCCGGAGTTTTCATTTATGTGTGAAGGTATTTAAAATAATTTCTTGCATGTACATAGACTTAAGATGTGGAAAACAATTATCGACATATTTCATGTTATTTAAAAGCAATAAAAATACTCATAGATGAGGATGCTGGAATATAAAAGGATTGAAGAGAGTTTTGAAAATCTAAAAGCAATGGTAAACATGGCTTCAGAATATATTACACTTCTTATGAGTATATTATATTTTTGGAGAGCATATTTAAAATAATAGACACTAGATCATACCAGCTCAAATTAACAGATAGGAGGATGTGTAAAAATGTTCTCATTTTACCTAATTACTGTCTCATTCTAATGCTGATCATCAAGTAAATATAGATTTAGGAATTATTTAAAAATTAAAATTAGGACCTTATATGAATAAATACGTTTCTTTGCCAATATTGCTTTTGTCGTTACACACAATATCTATTACACGTACACTGGTGAACACACAATAATTCTGTCTTTCTAGTCATATATATTCATT